>NC_000010.11:48324913-48476428 GCF_000001405.40 Homo sapiens | reverse complement strand
CTGAGCCCTTCCTGGGGTGCTTATTCTGGCACCGGCAGGCCACCTCTGACAGACAGGAGTGGGTGGCGTGCCTGCTGCAGATGGGACAGCCCAGCCATCCCCTTGAGAAGTGGGAGCAGCCAGTGGTCAGGGGAGCCTCACTGCTGGTGGCCTGCCCAGCCCACCAAGCTGTGGCCACAGCTGGAGTGCCTCTCATTTGGGAATTCATCTGGTCATTCAGCCAACCTGCAATGGACTCGCAAATGTTCTAGGGGCTGAGGAGACAGCAGCGAGCTGGAGGGACAGGCACTGGCCTCATGGTTCTCACGTGCTAGTAGAGGAGGCGGGTGACCAGCTGAGCAGGCACATGGCAGGTTAGATGGTGGGCACAGTGGGGACAGAAGAGGCAGGGAGGGGAACACAAGAGATAGGGTTAGGGTTTGGTGACTTTTGAGTAGAAGGAAAGAAAGGGTGGATAACAGCACAGGCAGAGGTAGGGGGCCCATCCCGGAAGAACAGCAAGGAGGCCAGTGTGGCCAGAGCAGAGTGGGCAAAGGGGAGGAGAGAGACCAAAGAATGAATGGCCTTGTCATCATGGTAGAGCTGTTAGCACCTCATGGCATGGAATAGAGAAGTGGCAGAACCTGGCCCATCTTCTACCAGGATCCTTCTGGCTGTCATGTTGAGGAAAGACCAAAGCCAGTTAGGAGCTCCTTACACAACAGTGCAGGTGAGAGGTGAGGGTGGCCTGGCCCAGTGGTGGTGGCGATAAGAAGTCATTGAATTCTTGATTTATTCTGAAGGTAGAGCCAGTGGTATTCCCCTGCTAAGATGGATGAGAGGTGTATGAGAATGAATGAGAGAAGTTAAGGATAATTCTGGGATGTTTTGATCTAAGCAATGGGAAGCTAATGAGTTAGCTGAGATAGAAAGACTACGGGAACTGCAGCTATTTGGAAGGAAGATATGGGCCTAGTTTGAGATACCTATAAGATGCTCAAGTTTAGATGTCAAGTAGGCAGGTAGATATTTCAGCCTAGAAATCAGGAGAGAGGACTGGGCTAGAGAGAGTATTTAGGGGGCCATCAGCACATAGATGGGGTTTGAAGTCATAAGGCTGAATGAGACAGCACAGAGCGAGTGGAGGGACAGCAGAGGGGTGAGAAAGAGAGCAAGCCCCAAGAGGGAGGAGAGCCAGAAGCCACCCTGAGCCAAGTGAAGGAACAAGGGCAGTGATCAACTGCAGCCAAGTGCTGCTGATAGATCAACCAGAGGATGAAAGCTGAGCAGTCATTGGTGACTTGAGCAAAGGGGCTTTTGTGGAATGCCTGATAATAGTGGGAATGAGAAAGGATGATAGGAGGGGAATTGGAGTGTCAGCATAGCCAACTCTTTCAAAAAGTTTGCAGAAAAGGGAAAGAGAGAAATGGGGACAGCAGCTGGAGGAGGAGGTGAGGTAAAGAGGAAGTTGGTTTATTTTTTTAAGTTGGAAGACAAAGCATCATTGCAAAAGATTGATGGTGTAGGAGGGACAGAGAATTATTGCTGGAACACCAGTGTCTCTTATGGATATAGATACAAAAATCATCCACAAAATCCTAACATGCTGAATCCAAAGAATTATACGCCATGATGAAATGAGATTTATCGTCTCTAAGAATGGAAGGGTGATTTAATGTCTGAAAATCAATTAATGTACTATATTAACAGAATAAAGGACAAAAACACATGACCGTCTTAGTAGACTAGAAAAAGCATTTTATAAAATCCAGCACCCTTTAATGATTAAAACACTCCAGAAACTAGGAATAGAAGTGAACTTCTATTCTATCCCTAGGAATAGAAGGGAATTCCTATGATAAAGGGCATCTCCAAAAAGCCCACTGATAATAACATACTTAATCGAGGAAGACTGGCTAATTTTCCTCCAAGATCAGGAACAAGACAAGGATTCTTGCCTTCACCACTTCTATTCAGCATTGTACTAGAGGTTCTAGCCAGGTCAATTATGCAAGAAAATGAAATAAAATGAAGCTTGATTTAAAAGGAAGACATTAAAGTATCTCTGTTTGCAGATGGCGTGATCTTGTGTACAGAAAGTACAAAAAAACTATTAGAATTAATTAAAAATTCAGCAAGGTTGAAGGATACAAGATTAGTATATACAAACCAATTTTATTTGTGTACAGTAGCCATGAACAAACTGAAAACGAAATTAAGAAAATTTCATCTACAGGAGCATCCAAAAGAATAAAATACTTAGGGATAAATTTAGCAAAAAAAAGTATAAAACTTATATTCTGAAAATAACAAAGCATTGCTGAAAGAAATTGAAAAAGATCTAAATAAGAAGAAAGACATCCCATGTTCAGGAATGAGAAGAGTTGATATTGTTAAGAGGCCAATACTCCTCAAACTGATCTCTGAACTTCCACGCCCAGTTCAGGGAACGCAGCCCCAGAAGGATGCATGGCGCAGTACCTCCTTGCCAGCTCTCTCTGAGAGGAGAGAGAAGGGAGACAATAGTCACCGGGTCCCCAGGGCTGCCTCGGCATCTGGTGGGTGCTTGAACATGTGTATCCCTTGCCTGGTTGTCTGCAGAGAGTCTGCAAGCCCCCTTAAAGCCTGGAATTTATATGCATAGGAAGGGGTTTAGCCAAGCCCATTGCATTGAAGTGTGAGAGGAGGCAGAGTGAGGCTTTGGCAACAGGCTTGGGTCTAGGTGTGATTTGGCTCTGCCACTTGCTTGCTGCATGACCTGGCACACCTCTTATCTTCGCTGTACCTCTGTGTCCTTGTTTGCAAAATAGGAAGAATAATATCTTTTTTGCAGGATTGTCATAAGAATTAAGAGAGAAAATGGACATAAAGTGCTCAGCGCTCTCTGAGTACTAAATAGTCCTCAGCGTTCTCTGAGTACTAAATAGTCCTCATTCATTCATTAAACACTTATTGAGACCTGTCACATGCAGGCAGAGGACTCAGCAGGGAAGAAAGCAGTGTACAGTGTACAATTCAGTGGCATTAAGTGTATTCACACTGTTGTACAACCATCACCACCATCCCTCTCCAGAACTTTTTCATCTTCCCAAACTGAAACTCTGGCTTTCTCCCTCCAGCCCTGGGCAACCACCATTCTACTTTCTGTCTTTATAAATTTGACTGCTCTAAGCACCTCATGTAAGTAGAATCCTGTAGTATTTGTCTTTTTGTGACTGGCTTATTTCATTTTGCATAATGTTCTCAAGTTTCATCTATGTGGAATATTGGAATTTCTCTCTTTTTTAAGCTCAAATAATATTCCATTGTATGGATATACCACATTTGTTTATCCATTCATCCATTGATGGACACTTGAGTTGCTTCTGTGTTTCAACTATTGTGAATAATGCTGCTGTGAATATGAGGGTGCAAATATCTCTTTGAGTCCCTGATTTCAATTATTTGGGGTATATACCCAGAAGTGGGATTGCTAGATCATATGGTAATTCTATTTTTAATTTTTTGAGGAGCCTCCAGACCATTTTCCACAGTGGCTGCCCCATTTTATATTCCCACTGGCAGTACACAAGTTTTCTAGTTCATCTACATCCTCACCAGCACTTGTTTTCTGTTTTTTTTGGTTTTTTTTTTAATAGCCATCCTAACAGGTATGAAGTGTTATCTCATTGTTCATACGGTGTTGAAAGAGGTGAGAGAGTGAGCCAAGGGGACATCTAGTGGAAGTGTGCTAGACTGACGCCATAGCTTGGGCAAAAGCAGAACATCTGATGTGGTCTAGAAGCAGCACAGAGGCAGATGGGCTGGAGGGAGTGAGGAAGGGAGCCACATGGGAGTGGCCAGAAGGTAGAGGCTTCCTGGGCCCCTTTTAGTACTCTAGCTGTTATTTTATTTTATTTTGTTTTATTTTATTTTATTTTATTTTTGAGACAGAGTCTCGCTCTGTTGCCCAGGCTGGAGTGCAGTGGCACAATCTTGGCTCACTGCAACCTCTGCCTCTTAGGTTCAAGCAATTCTTCTGCCTCAGCCTCCTGAGTAGCTGGGATTACAGGCACGTACCACCATACCCGGCTAATTTTTGCATTTTGAGTACAGCAGGGGTTTCACCATGTTGGCCAGGCTGGTCTCGAACTCCTGACCTCAAATGATCCACCTGCCTCGGCCTCCCAAAGTGCTGGGATTACAGGCATGAGCCACCACACCCAGCCGCTGTTACTCTTTTTTTCTTTTTTTTCTTTTTTTGAGACTGAGTCTTGCTCTGTCACCCAGGCTAGAGTGCAGTGATGCTATCTGGGCTCAACGCAACCTCTTCCCCCCCGGGTTCAAGCGATTCTCCTGCCTCAGCCTCCCGAGTAGCTGGGATTACAGGCACCCGCCACCGCACCCAGTGAATTTTTGTATTTTTAGTAGATACAGGGTTTCACCATCTTGGCCAGGCTGGTCTCCAACTCCTGACCTCATGATCCACCCACCTCGGCCTCCCAAAGTGCTGGGATTACAGGTGTGAGCCACCGCACCTGGCCCAGCTGCTGTTACTCTGAAATGAGGAGGGGGCATTGGAGGGCTTTGAGCCGAGAAATGTCTTGATGTAATACATCATTTAAGAGGACCACTCTGCCTGCTGACCAGAGTTGTACAAGGGGGAGCTGGAGATGAATTTGCAATAATCCAGGCAAGAGAAGGGGGTGCTCTCCCTGTGGTCAGGGTAGTGAAAGTGATCAGATTCCAAATCTATTTTGCAAGTAGGATGATAAGCTCTCCTGGCTGTGGATGTGAGGAAGGGCGCAGTGGAGGCTAACTCCATGGTGTCTGGCTGGGCATCTGGAGGCTGGAGTTGTTATGAAGTAAGAAGGGAAGACTTAGCACAGAGCTGGTTTGGGAGGCTATGGCAAGGCCATAGCTCTGTTTGGACACGTTTAGGTTTGAGGTGTCTATGAGTCATTAAACCAGTGGAGATGCTGAGCGGGCAGTTGGATTCAGAAGTCTGGGGGCTGGGACTGGTGCTAACTAGCACTGTGGTAACAGTTCCACTATGGCCAGCAGGCACCGCCAAGCAAAGCCCTGAAGCTGTTTGTCCCAACCTTACCAGTGGCAGCGCAGAAGGCAGTCTTGGGGCTAGGAGCCCAGCTGGGAAAAGGTGTCCCTGCCCAGAGTGACTGCTTGGTGCTGGGGCGGGGCATGGGGGCCGGAGACAGGCAGTAGGCCTGTGGTCATCATCGGAACTGCACTGCCCTGGCCTGGCTGTGTGGGAATCTCACAGGCCTCTGGAGGCTTTTCTCAGACCCCCAGGAGTCAACTCTCCTGCCCTTGGGTTCCTCTGGAATCATGGGTGGAAAAAAGAAGGGAGAAATACAGCTCCCTGAAGCCCTAGGGCAGGACATGTGACATGGAAAAAAATCCAACCTTGGGACAACCTGGTGGGATGAAATGCAACCTTGTTAGCTGGTAGTGGTCATCATTTGATGGAATGACATCTCTAAAAGGAAGCCCTGGAGGCATAATCAGATTCAGAGTGAAAGGTGATTACCCCCAGGCCAGGCTGCCAGTGGTAGAGCCCAAGGTCCTAGTGGACCACTTCTCCCCAGCACTGCTTGCTCTATATCCCAGCCCTCCTGGGAGATTCAAGAAGACAGTCTTATTTCTAGTTCCTGTGAATGTCAACCTGCCTGGCCAGTGGGCCTGGGCTTTTCCAGGCAGCCCTTCCAAAAGGGGAGAGAAAGGACTCTTGCAGACCTGGGCTAGGCCTCAGGTCACTAAGCCAGCAGAAGGGGTACTTGAGACTAGTTCTGGTGCCTTCCATCCATTCTAGTGGGCCCTAAGGGTCCATGTACTCAAGTGGAGAAGATGTCCCTATGGACCTTGGATCCTGTCCAGGCTCATAGAGGGCAGGCCTGGCCTCTTCTGGGTATAGAGGGTGTTCAGAGCACACTTGGGCCTCCTTCCCCTGCAGCGCTCAAGGCTTCTCCCCTGCCAGAGCCCCAGGAGCCTGAGAACTTGGATCCCCAAGGCAGAGGAAATGGCCTCCAGCCACAGCCACCCTCCCCCACCCCTGCTGATGGGACAGCCACAGAGCTGTTTACCAGAACAAAGGCCCGAGCAGCTGCCTTATCTAGGGAGAGCCTGGTAAGCTAGTCGGGATGATTTACAGGGGGCTGTCACTACTGCTTCCTGCAAAGGTCAGGACGCTAACGTTCAACACTCTTTTAACCACCTTGCTGGTTCATTAAGCCCTTCCTTCTCAGCAGCTCTGATGAGAAATGCCCATCAGCTTGGCCAGTTTGGTTTCAGTCTGGCTTCAATAGACCTCAGATCACAGAACCAGAAAAGAGTTTGTCTCCATTATTGATAAGATGGGGATGAACCCCTGGGGACCCCAGCATTTCCTATCCTGGACTCTGTGTCCCTGCTGAGCCTGACAATAGCCCTGTGAAACCAGTCCCATTATATCCCACTTTTGGTGAGGAGACAGAATCAAGGAGGCTCCAGCATTTTGTCCAGACCACAAATAAGTGGGAAGCTGGCATTTCAACCTAGTCGGCTGGAGTGCAGAGCCTGGGTGCTGGCTGCCTGCTGTAGAGAGCAGGATGCCAGAAAGCCTCAGGGTGTCCTAGGGTTGGGATCTTTGTCTCTCAGCTTGTTCCAAGTGGCCCTGGAGGACTTCAGCCCACACACCCTGAGAGAAGAGGAAGGGAGCTCACACTGGCTATGGGCTGCCCTTGCCAGGAGTTTGGTACAATCTGGAGGCAGCAGAGACTCAGAGGTTCAGCAACTTACCTAACAACACACAGTGGGGCTGGGGGCAGCGCAGCCCACCTCCAGGGTAAGCTCATCGCTGGATGCTGTTGCCAGGTAGGCCTCAGCGCATTCTACCCACTAGATCTGAGTTGTCTTGGTTGGGGAGGGGGGCATAATTAAGACTGAAGGAAGAGGCAGTCCCTAAGGTCCTGGATCCCAGCCCTAGCCAGGGAGCTGTTGTACACACAGCTCAGAGACAAAGACCATCCAGAGTGAAGAGGCCAACTGTTAACTGGGTTGCTTGTGTGATTGGACAGACTCAGGTTGTCAGCTCCCCAGCCCTGCCCTGAGAAGGCAGTCTCATGACTGTCTCTGCACTCCCATCCCCAACAGGCCCCACAGCTAAAAACCACCCCTGAGGTGGGGTGGGCATTGGCAGGGCCAGGGCTTCACCTGGAGCTCAATGTGGCAGTGCCTGCCGGAGCCTTCTAATGGGTGGTGCCTGCAGGCCTCTAGCCATGTGGGGCTCCTGGGTAGGGGTGGAGGGCACTCTGCAGAGACTGGCCAGTCTGACTCTGAAGACACAGGCAGGGAAACCATGGCTCAGAGCAGAGAAAACATGTGGGCAGCAGACCCTGCCTGCCCACCTGAGAGAAGCCTGCCGGCCCCTGGTTGGTGAGAGCTTCTGCTGAGCCCTTGGCCCCTGCTCTTTAACATGGACAGGGCTGCTCAGAGCTGGCAGGTCCCTGGGCCGTGGGAATGCCAGGCTCTGTTGGTAGGTGGAGGGCAGACATTCCTTGGCTTGTGACACCCTGCACCAACCTGCCCTGGCACCCTCATGTTCACCTGAGCTCTGGGGAGGGAGAAAACAGCTCCGCGGCCCCACTCCCAGTTTTGAGGACCTTAGCCCCCATACTTAGTGTCAGGGCCAGGACTAGGGATCCTCACTGGCCTGGGGCACAAAATGTAAGGGGGCACCAAAAAAACTCAGTAATCAAGATATTTTATTGTAATCTTTTAAAAAATGAACATGAATACTAAAATATCCTTATATTAGGTCCACATTGCAGCTCTAACAAACTGCCAGAAATTTGGCAGCTTAAAACAACACAACGTGATTATCTTCTAGTTCTGGAGGTCAGAAGTCATAACCAGTCTTCTAAGGCTAAAATCCAGATGTCAGCAGGACTGGTTTCTTGTAGGACATGGGGAGAAGCAGTTCCTTGTATCTTTAACCTTCCAGGGGCTACAGCAAGGCCTTGGCTGCGGCTTCAGCACTGCAGTCTCTGCCTCTGTCCTGCCCCCACCGCCTCCACTGTGGTCAAACTTCCTTCTGCCTTCCTGGTAAAAGAACCCCTATGATTGCACCTGGCCCCTTAGATAACCCAGGTTAACCTCTCCAGCCCTCATCACACCTACAAAGTCTCTTGTACTGTGTAAGATAACACAGCCACAGGTTCCAGGGATCAGGACATCTTGTGGGGAAGGGCATTATTCAGCCAACCACATCCATGGTCAAATGCAAACATGTGAAATAAAGGCAGGAATGTGGTGGGATTGGGGTGGGAGGCACTCACCCTCAAGGCCTGTGCAAGTGCATAGCTGCTCCTTTCTGTATTGAAAACTTTGATCTTTTGTTCATCAAAGATTTTTTGCCTAATATTTATTCTTAAAAGTATTACAATAAAGTGTTTATCCTAGTTACTGAGTGAGGTTTTGGGTGCCCCTTAAATTGTGCCCCTGTGGTGAGTGCCTGGCTTGTTTCACCCTAGGCCAGGCTCTGCCTAGAATGAGCAAGAGGCGTGACCCAGCTCTGCACGTCCAGCTTGAAGAAGGGCCCCAGCCTCTTCCAGCCCCAGGGCCGCAAATCCCTCCCTTAAGAATTCTGCCCTCTAAGCAACTTTTCCCAGAGTAAGCACCTTGCAAATGACAAAGCTGGTCTTAAACTCAGGCTTAGCTCAACCCAGGCTGCTTAGCTCTAGCAGGTCCTTACTAGAAATTTCCAATATGCATGCATTTATTTTCACATACGATTTTTCCAGAGTTTTGGAAAATAATATTCAATAAAGAAAGAAGTCACCCTGATTATCACTTGACCCATAACTTGCTGAACCATGTTTTCTTTTTCAAGTATTATATTCCGGACTCACTAGTAACTCACAGTATTTTTCTTCTAACAAGTGTTACTCCAATTATGTCTGCACCTTTGGTCAGCTACTGTGTGAAATAAATATTCAGTACAAGCTAAAAAAAAAAAAAGAATTCTGCCCTCCTACCCTTGGGACTCCCATCCCTGCTACTGGCGTTGCATTGCCCCTAGCCGTGCCTCTCTGTCCACCTGCCTTCCTGGTGTACCCATTCCAGCCCTCACCCTTTGGAAGTATGGGGATTGTGGGCTGGTCTCAGAAACCTAACCCAAGAAGAATACAGGCTTTGCAGAAAGATCATGTAGGTGTTAATGAAGGTCCATCACCAGCTGTATGACCTTAGGCAAATCACACAACCTCTCTGATTCTCTGTAATATAGGGAAGCTAATACCCCTCAGACTGCTCAGGGGCATACTGTATGTCAAGTCCAAACCAATATCTCTGGCACTAGGATGCCCAGGCAGGAAGAGGCCAGAAGGGCCTGGAGCCTGGACCCCCACTGTGAAGCCAGCACCTCCTCCTTGCTGGGTGACCCAGACTCAGTTACCTAACCTCCCTGGACCTCCATTGCCTCACCTGGAACACCTGCTTCCCAGGCGAAGGGTTAAGCGGGCGCTCCAAAGCAGGTCCTGGGCAAAGAGGGAAGGGATTCCTGCGGTGCCCGGGAACGTGGGGCATTAGGGGAAAGGGTGTGAAGTTTGACACCGGAGATCCCCCACGGGGGCCGACTTCGGGCGTGGCATTCCAGGCAACTCACAGATCCTGGGCCTTCCCTCGCCTCAGGGTCCGGGCCTGGGGCGGCGCTGGCCGGGGCGGGCGGGCGGCGGGCAAGACGCTACCTGCGCGCGTGCCGGGCATTCCAGCCGCCGCCGCGCCGCCGCGATAGGCGCGCCATGGGCCTGATGCCGGCCGCGCGGGCCTACTCCGGGATGCAGCGCTTGCCCGCGGCCGCCTTGCCGCTTGCCCGCTTGTTGCGCGCCCGCCGCCCCAGGTAGGGGCGGGACGGGGTGCGGGCGCCCCCGGGCCCGCCAGAGAAGCTGCGTCTCCGGGCCATAGAGGCGCTCGAAGCTGGGACCGGCGCAGCGGGCGAGAGCGCCGCGCATGCGTCTCGCGGGGGTCGGCGGGGAGCCTGGGGGAGTTTGGGTGTCACCGCGGATCTGGTGCTGCGGGACGGTTCCCAGGGGGCGAGGGTCGTGCGTGTCCGAGGGAAGAAACAGGGACCGGAGGCGTCCTTCAATCTCCTGCTGGCTGTGGGCGTCCCGCATGTAGAGACGAGGACTTAGAGTCTGGGGGGGGGCGCAGGGACTTGCAAAGGATCCCTCCCCACCCCGAACTACGGAGGGGACACAGCGGGATCCGAGCCTCGGGCTCTGACCCCAAGCCTACCTGGGCCACAGGAAGGGGTGTGGGACCGGCGGCCCCAGGAGGAGGGAATCACTTCTGCCCTGGGGTGGACTGCCCAGGGCAGGACCCTTCCAGGTGAGCTTAGCCTCTACTGTGCTCCTCCAGGCCTGGACGGGTGGGGAGCAGGAGAGTTTTCAGCTGTGCCGGCTGGCTGGTGGATCTTACCGCTTACAGCCCTGGGGGCAATTCTGAAGCTCCCTAATACTTAGCGCAGAGCCTGGAAGTGACAGAGTTGGCCGGCCAGTGAGTCCCTGCACTGACGGACAAAGGGTGGGGTGGTTGCATGGAAGATGGTGAGTTTTGGGGTACAGGGGACCCGAGAGCAGAAAGGCCTGGAGCCAAGAGGGAAACTGTGGAATTACCCAATTACCCAAAGTTTGGGAGTCTCTAGAGAGAATTTTAGAATTACTTTCCTCATTGTGCCTCTTCCCAGACTATGTCATTGCCCGCTCCTGTAAGAGTGAAAAGCAGGCATATGACTGAAGCAGACCTGCTGCGCAGCTGCACTCTGCTCCGGGATCAGCTCCAAGAGGGAATCCCAGGTCTCCCTTCCCTGATGCGGCCTTCGGGGTGGGACTCAGGGGCAGGCAGAACCTGTCCAGGAATTGACCCTGCAAGGTCCGGAGAAAGCCGCATTTCAAAGCACTTGCTCCTGGGTGCCTGGTGTGGTCGATCTCCCGTGGACGCTCACACCCCGGAAGGTGGCCAAGCCCAGCTCAGAGAGGCTTAGGACAGTGCCCAGGGTCATAGAGGACGCGGATTGGAGCCAGCGGACTGCTCTGCCTGGGCTTCCTCTCCGGTGTGGGATTCCCGGGGAGGGGAGTGAGGGACGGCTTTGCCAGGGGAACGCTGGCGGGGGAGGCCTGGCAGCAAGTTCATCAAGAGGAGAGGCAGCCTCTGCCAGTTTCCCCTGCGGTGGCAGAGCCAGTGCTCTGTAAAGAGCATGGGCTGGGACCTCGAGGAACCCACACGATGGCTGGGTTTCCAGGGAGCTGACAAACCTACTGGAACTAGTTTTTGGCAAGGCTCCCCTCCGAGGGTGCCAGGAGAGCTGAGGGAGTTCAGCCAGGCGGGGGCAGGCCCTGCCAGGCTCCTGAGAGACCCTGATGAGGGGAGGGATTGGTGGGGCCCCTAATAAGGGAGGCCGGGCCCAGAAGCCCCAGCACAGGGTGCCTCCCACAGGAGGGCCGCGGGGAAGGAAGCCTCTTGGGAGGCTAAGCTGGAATGAGACCTCACAGCTCCTGGCAGCTCCCCTCCAAGGGTTCCAGTGGCCAGCTGGGAATGTGGGGCCAGTCTGCAGCCTGGTGGTACCTGGGGGCTGGGCCTCAGGGAAGTCTCGCCCTCATAGCACCCCCTAAAGACAGGTGTGATCCTCCCATTTTATAGATTTCATAGATGGAGAGACTGAGCCCCAGGAAAGGGAGGCAGCTCCTCTCCTCAGTGGGTTAGCCAGGACGTCCACCAGACCAGTGCTGGTGCAGACCCAGAATCTTTGTCTCTGTGACCTTTGGCCTTGAACATCGCCTACTTTCCCGTGTCCCCACCTCAGCCCCACCATGCCAGGGCAGGGTGCTGCCAACCATGCTCCTTCACCCCTGCCCTCTGACGCCCATGCTCCTCCATCATGTGCCCTGCACCCCCACCCGCCTACCTGGCTTCTTCCTGCTCATCTTTAGACGTTGGCTTCAGCATCACCTCCTCCCTGAACCTGTTCTCTCTAGAAGTGCCCAGGACCCTGTGGATGTCCCTTTCCTGGCTCTTCCATCCCTGTTTTGGGAAAGTGTTCAGGAAGGCGCCATGGGGGAGCAGAAGGGTAGTGGTTGTGCTGGGGCTGGGAGCTGCTTGGATGTGCAGGCACTGTACAAATGGTGGGCTGGCCCAGGCTCTGCACCCCTAGGGTCTGGTGGAGGGAGTAGGGCAGGGCCTTGCCTGCTTGCCAAGTTTGGGCTTTATCCTGAGGACGATGTGTGTGGGGGAACAGGGAGCAGGGGAGGCCCCAGGGAGATTTATATGTTTACAGCCTTCAGGGCAGCTCTCTAATTCCTAGAGTGGGGCCAGGCACAAAGTATAGGGGTTATGGAAAGGTGGATGGACAGACAGACAGCAGGAGTTTTGGGGGTAGGAGATGGGACAGCAGGCCGGGCTGGAGCCAAGAGATGGCTGGGTGGAATTACCCATGCTCCATGGGCTTCCAGAGAGAATTTTGGAATTTTTTCCCCATGTATCTCTTCCTTGACTGTGGCCTTCAGTCAGCTGTGAGCTGAGGGTGGGGCTGAACGCTGTGAGTTGAGATGGGTGGCGGCCCTGGAGAGCTCGGTCCCCTCCTTCACTGGCTCTCCTTGGCCTCTGCTGCAAGCCCAGCATGTGGCTCTGGGCAGTTCAGCAACCCAGCAGAGGGGAGTGTCCTCACACTGTCTGGAGTAGTGGCAGGCAGGGCTGTGACAGAGGGGAGGGAAAGCTGAAGGGAGGATCTGGGGCAGCTCACGTAGCAGGGACTTCTGAGCTTTCTTCCAAGGGCTAGTGGGAAATTTGCCCAGACCGAAGAGGAAAGCGCTACCCAGGGAGAAGGCCCTACCCACTCACAGGCCCATGAAGGCAGACGGATTCATGCCACTCAAGCAGTGGGCAGAGCTGGAGGAAAGGGGAGGGAGGCAGGAGGCAGGCGGCAGGCACCAGGGGCACTGCCAGGTCAGCCCCTCCCCTCATGGGACCCTCTGCCCATGGGCACTTCCTCCTGGATGCCCTCTGCCTGCTCATTTGAGGTCCTAGCAGAGGCCTCTGGTCCTGAGAGGTGTAGCTTCCCATTGCTACCTTTCCTACTTATCCTGGCCCCAGTGTCCTTGGGGGAAGTCTGTGCCCCAGAGGTCAAAGCAGAAGAGGTGAACGAATACCTGTCAAGACCACATGAGAGGAGCATGGGCCAGGTTGGAAGTGAGAGGGGATGGTGGAGACTGCGGAGAAGTAGCAAGTGTGAGTCCTATCAAAAGGGCACAGATGCTACTGAGCTCTGCAATTGTTGCTTTTTTTGGAACTCAGGCCTGGTGTCACCACGTCTGGATTTTTTAAGAGAAGCTGGGAATCCAGATTTGTATATGAAATCTCTTGATTATAAATAACTAATTTAAAAATGTTTCAAACATCATGTGAGCTAAACAGGCACATCTGTGGACCTGTGTGGCCCACTGTTAGGCATCAGATGTTGAGCTCTGACTGAGGTGAGAGACAGCAGGGGCTCAGTGTCACTGGACCAGCCCAGGCCACTCTTGGGATGGTGGAAAGGCCAGGACGCTGTCAGTGGTGGGCCCTGGAGCCTCCTCGGACTGGTTTCTCACAGCTGTCCCTGGCAGCTAGCAGGCCAAGCTTGCAGCAGGATCACCTCCTGTGCTCAAGGCTGATGAATGGCCCCTTGGGTCCCATTTCTGGGCAGGGGCGCCTGGTCTTGCCCACCAGGTCCCAGGTGGGAGCAGCTTTCCCTTCGTGTTAGTATTGCAACCTCTGCCTGTTGTCTGTTCACATGACCCATGTTTTCAGGAACTGCTGGTGCTGGATTGGGGGATGCCTCACATAGGTATCTCCACACCAACATGGGTGCCAAGCAGCCATGTGGCTGAGTACATTCCCTATACCTGGAGCCAGACTGCCTGGGTTGGACCGTTGTCCCTGTCATGCATGCTGAGTGAACTTGGGCACATTCTTAAGCCCCCATGCCTCTCCGTTCAAACATCCTACAAACTGAACAGGCAAAAGTCAAGATAATGATGTTGATGGTTACAGTGATAGTGACAGTCCCTAAGTTATCAGATGGGTAGGATTAAATGTGCTGATGAGTGTAAAATGCTCAGAACAGCACCTGGCACCACAACACCGTGTGTAGCTACTTCGGCACTCTCCTCACACTCAGGTGCCCCCCCCCCACCCCGAAGTGTGCATACCCATGCACACACAAGCCCACAAGCACACATATGCACATACGTTTATAAGCGCACATCCAGCACATGTGCACACACATGCACACACAAGCCCACACTACATGCACACATGTGCGTACACACTTCTCCCTAAAGCATTGCTGGTATCCAGCAGGTGTAGCCCACGCGGGCATGTGTTCTCAAAGGAAGAGTCTTCACCTTTCAGGTTTTATACACTTTGTTTTTGGGTCAAGCAGGGTGAGGAGGAGCATTTACTGTGTTCTGCTCTGTGCCAGGCACTGTATCAGGGACCGATGTATCTTATTCCAAAATAGCCCCTGGGTGGGAAGCTAAGTAAGACAAATGGAGCCCCACTTTTAGCTGGCTCAGTGCCCAGGTCTCTGAGAAGTCCCAAGCCTGGACATGGAGCTTTGGCATCTTGCCCCTGGAACACCCCACAAGCCACCCTGCAGGGAAGGTCTCTGCACAGTGGGTGTGAATAATGTCAGACACTCCAAAGAGTCAGGCACGCACCTTGTAGAGCTTAGGGGCTGGCACAAGTCTGTTTCTCCAGTTACTGTGCCGTGGTGTAGACAGCTTTATGGATCTCAACTCCTTCCCTTCTTTGCCTGGGCTGCCAGGAACCTCTTAGCCTAGTGATATATTTAGTTTTCATAGATTTTCTCAGAAGTTCCTCTGCCTCCTTCCTCTCTCCCTCTATTCCTCATTTGGTGTCTTGTCATGTATTGTTTTAGATCATTCTCTCTCTGATTTCTTTTCTTTCTTTTTGCTAATGTTATTTAAGAGTAACATGCAGAAAAGCATACAAGTCATAAGTGTACAGTTCAGTGAATTTTCTCAAGAGGAACATAACTGGGTAAGCAGTGCTGGGGGAGAGACACAGTGTTACCAGGACCCCAGAAGCCTTTGAGCCCCTTCCAGTCACTGACCCACCAAGGGAACCATGTCCCGGCCTAACAGCACAGATGCGTTTGACCTGTTTTTAACTTTACATACATGGAGTCATGCAGTGTGCACTCTGGGGTTTGGCTTCTTTTGTTTCTGATGATTTTTTTTGTCTTCTAATTTTTAAAACATTTCATAAAATACACTTAGCATAAAATTTCCTGTCTTCATTTTTAAAGCACACAGTTCAGCAGCATTACATTCATTTCAATTATCGTGCAACCATCAGCACTATCCATCTCCAGAACACTTTCCATCTTGCAAAGCTGAGACTCTGTGCCCATTCAATTCTAACTTGCCATCTCCCCTGTCCCCAGCTCCTTGCAGCCACCATTCTACTTTCTGTCTGTGAATTTGAATACTCCAGGTTCTTCATATAAGGGGAATAACACAGTATTTGTCCTTTTGTGAATGATTTACTTCACATAATGTTCTCAGGTTCACCCATATTTTATCACTTGTCTGAATTTCCCTCCTTTTTAAGGGAATTCAGGCTTAAGGCTGAATCAAGTTCTACTGTATGCAAATACCACGTCTTGGTACTCCATTCATTGATGGACACATGGCTTGCTTCCGCATTTCAGCTACTGTGAATAATGCTGCTGTGAACATGGGTGTGCAAGTATCTCTTTGAGACCTTGCTTTTAATTCTTTTAGGTATATACCCAGGGGAGGGATTATTGGTAATTCTGGTTTTAATTTTTTGAGGAACTGCCATACTGTTTTCCACAGCAACTACACCATCTTATCATCCTGCCAGCAGTGCACAAGGAAGGGTTCCAGTTTCTCCACATCCTTGCCAACACTTGTTACTATCTGATCTTTTGATAGTAGCCATCCTAGTGGGTGTGAGGTGGTATCAGATAGTGGTTTGGATTTGCATTTTCCTAATAATGATTGATGCTGAGTCACGACTATGGTTTTCACATTACTATGTCATCTGTCTTGTCCAGTGAGCTGTGCCTCATTTATTCTCATTGCTGCACTGTGTTCCATGGTAAGAATAGAACACAGGAGATCTGCTGTTGATGGGCACTGGATGGCTTCTCATTTGGAATGACTGCAAAACCAATCAATGACAGGCATAATGAACGCTCCCAAGGGCCATTTGCTCCTGGCTTGGGCAAGCTCCATGGCCAGGTCACACCACCATCTCACTGCTCCCTCCTGCTGTCTGTCCACAGGCAGCCCAGGGCCCAGCCTCCTGGTGTGCATCCTCCCAGCATGTGTCCGGGCGGCCAGGGCACAGCCTTCTGGTATGCATCCTCCCAGTGTGTAATTTGCTTCCTGAGGAGGAGCCACCTTTAGCCCTAACAGTGCGCCTGCCCTCCATTGTCCTGAGCACCCAACACTGAGCTGGGTGGTGGAGGGTGTGACTAGCTCCTCTCTGTGCTCAGGGATCTTTGGGCAGCGCCTAGAGGAAACAGTCCACCACGAGCGGAAGTATGGCCCCCGCCTGGCGCCCCTGCTGGTGGAGCAGTGTGTGGACTTCATCCGGGAGCGCGGGCTCACTGAGGAGGGGCTGTTCCGCATGCCAGGCCAGGCCAACCTGGTGAGGGACCTGCAGGATTCCTTCGACTGTGGGGAGAAGCCACTGTTTGACAGGTGAGCTTGTGATCGGGGGTAAGGTGGAGCCATTTGTCCATTCCTCCTGCAGGGGCTCCTGCCCAGGACACCAGCTCCAGTGGGCAGGGGTGGGCTAGCGACAGGATGGTGGGCCAGCCCTCCTAGTGGGCAGAGTGTAGGGCACACCCTCACTCCGCCAGCCCGGGGTCCCCTCTCAGGATGGATGCCTGCCATGCACGAGGCCAGCTCACATCCACACAGCCTGCCTCCCCTGCACATGCTAATAAACCTGACCCAGGCAGGAAGAAAAGGACCTCTGCTGGCTCCCATGTGAGGACTGACCAGGCGCAGCTGCATCCGGACCCCAGGCCTTCTGCGGGGTCTGTCTCTTGGCCGTGCTTCCTCCGGTGACCTACCCCCAGGCTCTATCAATGGCAAGATGGCACAGCAGCTCGGCTCCCCTCCTTTTGGGTTCTGGGGACAGGAGAGCGAGTCTCCTCCATCTGCTCTGGGGCCGGGGCCATGTCCATCCTACCCATCATGGGGGCTTACCCAGGCCCTGGATGCCCCTGGGTGGAGCCAACTATACCCCCAGCCTAGGGCCGTTTGGGGATTCTGTTTCCCCTGACAGTGCCCCCACCCATTATGGGGCAGTTTTTTCATAGAGTTCTCTCTACATCAGGAAAAACTACCCTCCATGGGGCTTATGCCCTGTCTTCTTGGATCTGCCCCAGGATGGGCCCACCAGGACCTGCAGGCAGCCCTGGCCTCCCAGGGCTTCTCCTCTGGGGGCAGAACACTCAGCCCCTCAGCTCTTTCCCAGGCCCGTCACTGCAGCCAGGGGAGGGTGTCAGCTCCTCTCCTTAGATGTGGAGTCCAGGACTGACCACTGTTCCCTAGCGGTGCTCCACCCAGGGAGGTACGGGGGACCCTTCCTCTGGAGCTTTGTGAAGCTCCATCCCAGTGTTGACGCTCAGTGAGCTTGTCGTCCATTCTGAACCTCAGCCAGCCAGGCCTCTTCCATCCTGTGTCTCAGCGTTAGGGTTGCAGATTGCTTCAAATAATGTCACCTGGGTAAGGCCTGGGAGCCGAGACTTTTGGAAGCTCCCCAGGATCAGATGCTCTGCCCTAGTGCCTGATGCTACCTGAGGGGCTTCTGCAGACACAGATCAGACCTTGCCACTCCCCTACTCAAACTCTGCTGGGGCTCCCTGGAGTGGCACAGGCCGTCTGCGCCTCACCCACACTGCCAAGCTTCTCCCATCCTGCTGGGGGGGTCTCCACCTGGGCACACCTGCTCTCCCAAGGTGTGGTTCCTGGCATGCTCAGCCTCCTTTCTCCACCTGGCCTGCCTGCTGAAGCCCCCTTGAGAGGCAGCTGGGCACCCTAGGGTGGGTTCCATGCAGACCTGACTCTCGGCCTCCCAGCAGCCTGGGGCAGCCTTCCCTATGTCTTGGAGGCCCTCCCCTGTCTGCCTTCTCCCTCTCTGGCTGCTTCTACCCTGCTTCTGGAATTGTGTCAGGAGGGCCATCTCCATGGTGGGCATGTTGGCCTTGTCCCTCCACCCCCATCTCAGCAGTGACCCCCATACTGCCACGGTGGCCCTGGGCTTTGGTTTCCTCTCCCTTTAGAAACTCCTCCTGGGGTATCTGAGGCCATCCTTCCCACTTTCTGCCATTTCCATGGCAGCTCCTCTGGCTCTGCAGCTGTACCCACAGAGGGGCCCTCCCCACCCACCCCTGAGGGAGGCCCCCCTTCCCACCCAACCCCAACAGAAGGTCCCCCCTCCCTACCCACCCCCAACAGAGGGTCTCCTCCTCACCCACTTCCAACAGAGGGTCCCGGGATGGAGCTCTCTCCCCAAGGCCATAGCCTGCCTGCCTGCTGGGGTGTTGGCTTCTGTCCTGGCCCCTTCCGCAGGAAGCCCCCTCCTCACTTTCCTGCTCATCTCTATAAGAAGGTCCCCTTTAGCCCCAGGTCCTGGGCTTCTCTTCTGCTAAAGCCTCACCAGGCCTGGAAGCCTCAGTGCCTGGAGCTGTCCCATACTTGCCCCTTCCCAGCACAGTGTCCCCTGGGCACTGGGCTGTCAGTCTCCCGGGTTGCCACCCTGCTGCTGAGCTCTGAGGACAGCCTCCTGTGGGCCGGAGCCTAGGGCTGCATGGACTCCTGGCCGCCAGGCTCTCCTTACTCCCTCAGCTGCTATCCTTTGAGGGAGGGAGCACTGGGAGGCCTAGGGGTGGAGGGGCACCCACATGCATTAGAAATTCTAAGGGGGGTGGGTCTTGACAGATAACAAGTAAACACCAGGGACACCAGTCCCGGGCCTAGTGGTAGGGAACCTCCCAGGGTGCTGCAGATGGCAGGGCTGGGCTGCTCAGGGAGGAGCCCTGCGGACACCCAGGTGGGGTGAAGCAGGCGGCCCGGCTGGGGGGCAGGTCGAGGAAGTGGGGATGGGTGATGAGAAACGGACTCTAGGGGAGTGAGGCGAGTCAGGACCAGGCTGGAGGCATGGCGTGTTCTGCATAGATGCCGGTGTTGGCGTGGGCGGGGGGTTCCCTGGGTACAGAGAGGTGACGAGGAACCTGCAGATGGAGGGTCACCTTGCTGCGGGCTGCACTGACCACCAGGGCCTCTTTGTCCCCAGGGCAGGCACCTCGTCCCCTGACCAGCTGCTGCCCTTTCTGCCCCACCCCTGCCCCCACCCTCCGCCTGCGCTAATGTCGCCGCATGCTGGGAGGCCCACAGGCTGGGGAGGCGCCCACAGGACCACGGGCTGTACAGAGTTCTCCTTGGGTGCTTGTTGGAGGGGGGAAGGGGACAGCAGTTTAGGGAAAAGTCTCAAGAAAAGGCCTGGTGACAGCTGTTGGAGGAAAGGCACTGCAGTGGGGAAGGAGGGAGGGAGGGAGGGAGGGACGAGGAAAGGAAGTAAGAGCTCAGGTACTGAGCGGATAGGGGGTCAGGCAGGGCCAAGCAGCAGGACCCTGCGGGGCAGGGATGCAGCCGGGCAGGTCTGCAGAGGAGGGGTGGCTCTGTGTCCACTCACCCAGGGCAGAAATGCTCCCATCCCCCCAGCTGCAGAAAAGGGGAAGACATACGGGCTGGCTGCCAACCACACTTCCCTGCCTCCTGCCCTTCCCCCAGTCTCTTGCGCTCCACTCAGGCTGCCACTGAAGCCACGGGCTCCCAGTGGGGAAGGGGCCGCTGGGCTCAAGCCTGGGTACCCAGGGCAGTTGGCCAGGAACATGGCCCGGGAGAAGGCCGAGGAGGGTGTGATAGCAGCATGCCTGGCTGGAGATGGAAGGAGGGTGGGATGGGGGCTGCCTGGATCCAGCCAGACCAAGAGTCACTGAGCCTCAGGCAAGGAGGGGCCCCAGGTATATGGATTTGGGGTGCATATGGATACATGGAACCCCAGAATCCCAAATGTCAGGGCCAGAAGGTATTTATCTCAGTGAGCCTAGCCTGGGATTCATCCGGGATCAGGTGATAGCATAATGGCACAGCCACAGTCTCCTGGCCCCGTCTCATCTTTCCTGAGGGAAATGCAGCCCAGGGTTTAAGTCCATGGTTCTAGACAAGCAGATGAACAACCTGGGGCCCATATACGGCTTGGAACGCAAGCTCGGAGGAGATGCCAAGGCTCTCGTTTAGGACCTGAACTGCAGACCCCACACAGGACCCAGGGAAGGACTATGCCAGGCCCATTGCCACCACCATCCACAACTGGTCTACTTCTGCCTTGGCAGCTCCGAGCCAGAGCGGGAGACTGAGGCCTGGAGTGGACTCCTGGGGCACTGGAGAGGGGGTGATGAGCTTAGAAGCCTAGGTGTCACCACTGTGGACAGGAAGAGAGGAAAGGGCCTGACCTCCGACCTGCTCCTGCTGTTGGTCCCCGGATACCTGCTCCCCAACAAGGAGCCAGCAGCCCTGCATTGTGGGCGCCTTTGATGCAGCTCCTCCCACTCCAGCCAAAGTCAAGTGCAGTGGAGAGGGCAAGCTCGGGCTGGGGGTTGGCAGCACCTATGGAGGGCCTGCAGGATAGCTGTTCCTACCGCAGAGCAGGCAGCTCCCACATCGTCTTGCAGGGGACCTTGGGATGGCCACCAGGCCTGTGGAAGGGGCTCCCTGGCCCATGTCCCAGGGCCCTCCCCTGTGCAACCTGACCTGCATCACACTTGATTCCTCTGGCCCAGGGCAGCTGCTAGGGTGGAGCAGCTGTGCCCTGCAGGGCCCTGTGGCTTCACAGTTCCTGGAGTCCTACGCAGTCTACGCAGGACAGGTTCTGGACGGACTGACACAGACATGAGACTCAGGGATTCTGAGCAGGTGCCTAGGCATGATGGGTGGTCCCTGAGCTGGAGCTCCTGGCCATGGATACTTAGTCGTCCCTGCCCCAGCTCTATCCACTGCTCCCAGAAGCAGCACTGGCCTTTCCTTGACCAGGGCAGCTGGCCGCAGATGCAGCCCCCAGTGCGCCCAAGAATGCACCTGAGACCAGAGGCTGCCCCTTGGCGTCAGGGCGTACCAGTCACCCCTGAAGTCCCCTGGCATCCCAGGCCTCACACACCTGTCCTCTTCCCCCCCACAGCACAACAGACGTGCACACGGTGGCCTCCCTGCTGAAGCTGTACCTGCGGGAGCTCCCCGAGCCCGTGGTCCCCTTCGCCAGGTACGAGGACTTCCTCAGCTGCGCCCAGCTGCTCACCAAGGACGAGGGGGAGGTCAGTGGCTCCTGGGGATAGCTCCTGGGAGATGGGCTGGCTGGGTGGCAGCCTGTAGACTCAGGACACAGACTCTGACTTTTCATGAATTTTCATGGCACATGGATCCTGTGGAGGCCTGCTGTGTTGGGGGTGTGGTGGGGGCCTGGAGCATCCTGCTTGGGTGGGGGAGGGGCCAGGGCATCCTGCTCAGGTCGGGGAGGGCTGGGGAATCCTGCTGTCTGGAGCCATACCTGTCTGCGGCCTTGGTCCCTGGGAGGGGTGGGTCCGGTGTGCCCAGCTCTGGCTGTCACACCAGTAGGTGCTCACACTCCCCACACCCGACTCAGGCCACTCAGGCCCGTCACAGGCTCAGAAACCAGGACATCTTTTATTTATATCTTGCTTCCTTCCCAAAAGAATTTGAGCTGGCTCCCAGGACAGATGAGCCAGCCCTCCCGTCCCCACCCGTGCAGGTGCTGGTCTGCAGCCCCAGGTGGCTCAGGGCCAGGGAAGGACTGTTTGCCTTCCCTGCGGCCATGTGGGAGATGAGGGCTCACTATCTGGCAAATATTTGTGTCTTGATAAGTGAGCTGAGTGCTGGCCCTGACATTCCTCCACGGGCCCTGTAGAGGCTCACCCCTCACACCAGCTCCTTGGAAGCAAGTTAGCTTCCCAGGAGGTCACAGCTGGGCCCTGGCCACTCCTTGAGGGGAGGTGGAGGTGGTGGAGCCCTCTGGTCTGTTGGGGCTGGGCTGCCGTAGCCCCCACCTCCCTTCTCTTTGCCCACCCCTCCTCGCAGTCAGAGAACAGTCAGGGCCCTCATTGCCGGTGTTTGAAATTCTGTTCTTCATTCCTAAGGGCACTCTGGAGTTGGCTAAACAAGTGAGCAACCTTCCTCAGGCAAATTACAACCTGCTCAGATACATCTGCAAGTAAGCGGCTTGGCAGGAGGGAACCACACTTTCCTGCACTGGCTCCACGCTCCCCCAACCCCACAGCGAGACACGCAACTCTTCCTTGTCAGAGGGGGGCCCGGGTCATTCCCCACCCTGCACAGCCTCAACCCAGCGTGGACGAAGCAGGGAGTGGAAAAGCACAGACCCTGAGTTCACGAAGCTTACAGTCCCATGGGAGCAGCTGGTTTTAAACAGACCTGGGTAGATAATTCCAGAAGGGACATACCCTCTGTCCCTCCTGGGTGCCTCTTGCCATCCTGTCCCCCCGGCATCTGCCCCTTGACCCCAACCCTTCATGTATCCCCATCCTAGACACTGAGAAGGGGAATGCAGGGGCGGCGCTGACTGGGGTCTGGGACTTCCCAGAATTTGTGCCCACTACAATTTGCAGAGTCTTGTCCTCCTTTCACACAAATAGCGGTGGGCCCTTGTCCCAGTGACTTTTACTTCTGATGGCCCTCTTGGGCCCCAGGGGAAGCCTTCCCTCATCGAGCCTGGCAGAGGCAGGCTACACCCAGTGGGCAAAAGCCCACAGGCAGCAGGGCTCAGCAGGGGTGTGGCGGTGCGTCCAGGCCGCACACAGGAGACTGGGCATCACAACTTGCTTCTTTGATGACTGCTGCTTCCTTACTTTGCAGGTTTCTGGATGAAGTTCAGGCATACTCAAATGTCAACAAGATGAGTGTCCAGAATCTGGCAACCGTTTTTGGACCTAACATTCTGCGGCCACAGGTAGAGGACCCAGTAACCATCATGGAAGGTAAGTGGGAGGTGTACCTGGTGGCCCTGGGTGCTGCCGGGGTCTGGGCTCATCTTGGTCCACGGCAAGTCCTTGGAACCATCCCAGCCCAGGGCCAGGCCAGCAGGAGGGGTGGCTCAGGTGGCACATCTCCATCTCTGGGGACTTGGCAGGAACTTCTGCAGACCTCACCCCCGACCCCCATGAGGTTCAGCTATAAGATAAAAAAGGAACTTTGCCCTGCGATGGGCAGCAGCAGGTCACTGGGTGCAATTAGAATAGCCAGGGGTTTCTGTGGATGGAAGAGGCTGGAGGGATGGGAGAGGTCAGCACTTTTGCCCTTGAACACAGACATGTTTGCTTTTCTTTTACAATTAAGCAATTGTCATAGGTTCCTGGATGTCAGCTTTGCAAACCCTGGAGAATTTCTCTATGATAAATAACAATAAGTGATTAAAAATAGCAGCAACAGCAGCCGCTTTCAGTAAGCTTCTACCAAGTGCTTTGTTTGTATCATCTCATTTCAGGCTTTACAACCAGCCTGTGCTGTGGTAATCGCCCCCACTTTACAGATGAGGAAACTGAGGCCAAGAGAGGCGAGGGGACTCACCAGAGGCCAGTCAGCCAGACTTAGCAAAGGGCACAGGTGTAGGCTGCCATAGAAAAGACAGCCCACCTCATAGGGCCCATGGAACACTGTCCCCAGTGGAGTATGCATGAGAGACGTGCTGCTCAGACAGGAAGCCCACAGCTGAGGCTGTTCTTGCCCTTATCCCATGTTGAGGGACGTGGCGGAGTGCTTTTGCTCAAGTCCGCACTTTGGTCAGCCCTGGCTGGGTCTCCCACCCCAGGGCCCCTTGAGGCCAGGAAAACACAAGCTCCTACCTGCCTGGTGGTACAGATGCTTGAGGGAGGAGGCCTGCCCTGCCTGCTTCATGGAGTTCCTGCTTCACCTAGGTTCTTGGCCTCAGAATTCCTTCCTTGACTTCTTCCAGGATTCCTAGTCAACTTCAGTGGGAGAGTCCACCCTGGCACTCAGCCCTCCCTCCTACCGGGGGACCTCCTAGCGTCGGGCCTTTGTGGTGAGGGTGGCAGGAGGGAATGAGGCAGCTGGATAGATGCCCTGGTCCTTCCTGCACTGCCCACCTCCGCTGCAGGCCCCCACCCCACCACCGTAGGAACTGAGTCCCCAGGACTGGGGGCTGCATCTCAGGGGCCTTGGCCTAGACACGGGGGATTGTGTGTGTGCGAGATTATATGTATGTGGGATTCTGGGGGGTGAGCAGGGTGCACTATGTGTGCAGTTGTGTATGGGGGAATTTGGGGAGGCTGCGGAGGGTGCATTGTGTGTGCAATTGTGTGTGGCGGATTTTGGGCAGTGGGTGGGGTTCATTGTGCGATTCTGTATGGGGGGATTTGGGGAGGCTGGGTAGGGGATTTGTGTGTTCACTTGTGTGTGTGTAGGGGCTTTGGGGAAACTGGGTAGAGTGCATTGTGTGTGTAATTTTATGTGTGTGGGATTTTCGGGAGTGGGCATTGTATGTGCGATTGTGTGTTGGGGGATTTGGGGAGGCTGGGTGGGTGCATTGTCCAGTTGTGTGTGTGTGTGGGACTTTGGGGGTGGATGGGGTGCATTGTACGTGTGATTGTGGGGGGTATTTTAGGGGGTGGGCGGGGTGCATTGTGTGTGCAATTGTATGTGTGTGCCCCCACACAGGAAAGATGGCTCTATTCCCTGTCCCAGAGCCCTATGCTCCCAGAGTGTGGACATTCAGGCATGGCAGTTGTCAGCAGCACAGAGGGGTGACGTGGGGCAGCCGAGAGAGTTCTGGCATCTCAGGTCCCAGGTTCCAGTTCCAACCTGCCACCTGCTCACCGTGCAGCCTTGGTGCCTGCTTCCTCACCCCACCCCAGCTGGAGGGCGTGAGCGCAGGCACAGTGCTTCCTCCCTGCTTGCGGCTCTGTGCCTGAGGAAGGCGGTTCTGCGGCCCCATCCTGCTGTCCTGCCTGGAGTTGGAGGGTGTGTGGTCCTTTCCTCTGGGCGGATGAAGGCTCCCTTGAGGGGCGGCCTGGCTCTGGGGACAGGGCCAGCTCCCACGAAGCTGCAGCTTCTCCATGACTGGCAGAGCGAGCCTGGGCCGAGTGGCTGGCAGCAAGGCCCTTCTCCGCCTCTCTTCCCGGCAGGCACTTCCCTCGTCCAGCACCTGATGACCGTCCTCATCCGCAAACACAGCCAGCTCTTCACGGCACCGGTCCCGGAAGGGCCCACCTCCCCGCGCGGGGGCCTGCAATGCGCAGTGGGGTGGGGCTCCGAGGAGGTCACCAGGGACAGCCAAGGAGAGCCCGGCGGCCCCGGCCTGCCCGCGCACAGGACCTCTTCCCTGGACGGGGCGGCCGTGGCGGTGCTCTCCAGAACAGCCCCCACGGGGCCGGGGAGCCGGTGCAGCCCTGGGAAGAAGGTGCAGACCCTGCCCAGTTGGAAGTCCTCCTTCCGGCAGCCGAGGTCCCTATCGGGAAGCCCGAAGGGGGGCGGCTCATCCCTGGAGGTGCCCATCATCTCCTCCGGCGGGAACTGGCTTATGAACGGGCTGTCCTCCCTGCGCGGACACCGCCGGGCCTCGTCGGGAGACCGGCTCAAGGACTCGGGCTCCGTGCAGAGACTCTCCACCTACGACAATGTGCCCGCGCCGGGCCTGGTCCCCGGCATACCCAGCGTGGCCAGTATGGCGTGGTCCGGGGCCTCGTCCAGCGAGTCGTCGGTGGGGGGCTCACTCAGCAGCTGCACGGCCTGCCGCGCCAGCGACTCGTCTGCCCGCAGTTCCCTGCACACCGACTGGGCCCTGGAGCCCTCCCCGCTCCCCAGCAGCAGCGAGGACCCCAAGTCCCTGGACCTGGACCACAGCATGGACGAGGCGGGCGCGGGTGCCAGCAACAGCGAGCCCAGCGAGCCGGACAGCCCCACCCGGGAACACGCGCGCCGCTCCGAGGCCTTACAGGGGCTGGTCACTGAGCTCAGGGCCGAGCTGTGCCGCCAGCGGACTGAGTACGAGAGGAGTGTGAAAAGGTAACTTGCTGCCCCGTGGAGCCTCCTGTGACGGGGCGGAGCCTGCAGGGAGAGCCGTGCTCTTGGCACATGGGCGTCGGCCCCTAACCTCTGGGCCGCTGGCCCTGGAAGCCAGCCTCAGAGAGGGGAATCCTAGCTCTGGGAAAGCCCTAGGACTGGCAGACTTGGCACACAGTCAGTCTGGCACGCAGTCAGTCTGGCACGCAGTCAGCGCTGCAGAGGCCTGCTGACTCCACGCAAGTGGGAATGCCTGCCCAGCCTGCCGGGGACCTTTGCTGCAGGGGTGGAAACAGAGTCAGTGTGCAGTCTGCAGCCAGGGAGGGGGCGGCCCCTGGAGGCAGGTCCCAGGCTTGTCCCAGTACAAGGGCTCATAGCCTGGATGCTGAGTGCCAGGAAGTGCCCAGGCCCCAGGTCAGCCAGGCTGGAAGTGAGGACCCCTTCCTTGATGGGATCAGAATCCAGTTTCCCTGCTGAACCAAGCCCTCGTGTCCGCCCTTGTCACAGGATGGTTGTGCTGCACCCTGAGGCTTACAATCTCACTAACAGAGGGCCAGAGTTCCAGCCTCCCATGAGGACCGGGGTTGCCCTCTGCAGTGAGGAACCTCAGCTCCTGGAGACCAGGTTCTCCAGCGCAGGGCGTTTCCCTCAGCATCTCAGACTCCTTGGTCCCTCTGGCTGCAGGTCCCCGTTAGCTGGCCGACCTGTTCACCTGGGTCCCACCCACTAGCAGGGAATTCCTTTATCCATTAGAGGCAGTGGATGGAGGTGGAAGGCATTCCTGCTGCCCACTCTGAGCCTGTGATTTCCACTGGGAGCTGGAATGGCAGCCCTTGCCCTTTTGCTCTGCTGACAGCTGTTCCCTGGGTGATGGAGAGTGCCAGGCATGTACAGGCACCATGTCTGCAAAAGGAAGAGAAGGAGAGGGACCTTGAGGGCAGAGGCCTCTGCCATGGGGGAAGTCACAGCAGGCAGTGCCTGAGCCAGGGCTGGAAGGACCCATAGGATGGAGCCGAGAAAGGAAATAGCATCAGTAGAACCCAAGGGCCTCCAGAAATATAGTAGAAGATGCTATCTGCTGCAGATGAGCTCACAGACCAAACTACAGGGTACATGGGAACTCTTACCATACAGAAGGCTGTCCATGCAGAAGGCTGGGCTGGACCAGCTGCGCCAGTTGTGTGCTGAGTGCCTGGAGCTCCTCTGGCCTGCTCTGAGGCCTGGTTTCTCAAGGGAGATGCAGGGCTCTTTGACTCCAGGTCAGACTACTTGGATTCTAGTCCCAGCTCCACCAGGGATTGGCTGAGTGTCCCTGGCAGGATCTTTGGGCCCCAGTGACCTCACCCATTTGTCCTGAGTATTAAGTGACTCACAGTGGATGAGAGCGCTCGGGAAACTTTGCTGCTCGCATTGACTCCTGCCTGGTGGCTGGAGGTAAGATGAGGTTCCCAGAGGAAAAGGGATAGCAGTGGTAGCCCTTGTGGAGGGACTGTACTCGCTAGCAGAGTGGTCTGGGTCGTTGTCTTGGTTAGAGGGAGGGTCTAGAGTGAGGAAGGTCTCTGAGCACAGGAAGGAAGGTGAGGGCATTAGCACCTGTCCTGTCCAGCAGGTGATTGGGGAATGTGTGTCCTGTTCTCTGGAAGTATGGGCCATCGGGTGGGGGGTGGGGTGAGGCTGGCCTTGTCCTGGCTCCCAGGACTCTGGTCAGAGCCCCTCCCCAGGGCCCTGCTGGGAAGTCAGCCTTCCTTCGTGCATTCCCAAAAGAGAACCTGTTTTCTGTGAAGTACCAGATGCTGTGCAGGTGGCCACAGTTGGGGTGAAAACTGATCAAAATCTCTGTCCCCATTCTTATTTGGGTTGCAGGGAGACAAAGACCATAAGCACGATACATTTTTAAAAATACACGGTGTGTTAAAAGGGAGATGAAGGAGGGGAACATAGAGCAGCATGGAGGGGAGCGGAGAGGAGCCTCAGGGTAGAAGGTTGGAGGGCCCTGGGAAGGAGACCCCAGAGCTGCAGCCAGCACTGACCCCAAGACCCCTGTAGTGGGGGAGAGTCAGGGGCTGGGGACTGGAGATGTGTGGGGAGGGGGCAATGGGTGGGGCCTTTTGGCCTGGGCAATGCTCTGGTTTTTCGTGGAGTGAGATGAGAATGAAGTGAGAAGCCGCTGGAGGGTCTTGGCACATTGGGCACTTTGACAGGTGCACCTGGGTGCCATGCCGAGCAGAGCTTGCCAGGGGACAAGGGCAGAACAGACCAGTTAGGAGGTGTGGGGGTCTAGGCCTGACCTATGGGGGGTGTGGCCCTATGGGGCAGCAGGTGGAGGTGGGGGAAGCGGCCAGGTGCTGAGCATATTTTGAAGGTAGAGCCAAAAGGTTTTGCTAACTGATCAGATATGGGACCGAGAAAAAGAATGGACTTAGGGGAGGACATCATTGTTCAGCTGAGCAGCTGAGGGAAGGTGTTCACCAAGAGTGCACCAGGGCTGCGGAAGAGTGGTCTGGAGATGAGGGTCAGGACCCTTTAAGTCAGAGATGCTGATGAAATGGTGCAGGGTCATCAGCGTGTAGTTGGGGCTTGGAGTCTTGAGCCTGACAGAGAAGGAAGAGGGGAGGTCCAGGCCCGAGCCAGGGGCAGCAGTGGGGAGGTGGGTGGCTTCTCTCTGACAGCTGTCTGTGATCCTGGTAGGGAGGGCTCAGGCCATGCTTCAAGCTCAGTGATGAGGATGGAGGCTTCGTTTTGGTGGGTTGAGGAATCCGTGTTTATTCATCATGCACCACGTACCAGGTGCTGTGCTGGCCCCTGGCATGTTCCAGTCCATGGTTACCAGTGCTCTGAGGAGCAGTTACCCTCTGCATTTCACTGTGGCTTGTGTCCTGTCCACAGCCATGTGGCTCAGAGGTCACCAGGCTGGGCATTAAAATCCAGCATATGTTCCCAGGGGCTGGGCTCAGGTGTGTCCCTTCGGAAAGACAGAAGCTGGTTGTCTGGTCAAAAAGATGGCCATGCCAACCTTGGCACACTGCAGCATGAGCCTGCATGGAAGCGTGTGGTATAGGCTCTGGTGGCACAGAGGAGCACCATTGTGACCTGCTGGGGAGGATCACAGGAAGTAGCATCATGGAGGGGGCGCTTGAGCTGAACATGACGGGAGAGCAGGAAGGGAAGTGACTACCCCACAGGATCTTCTGTGGGTCACCACGTGTGGCTGGATCATGGGGACAGTGTGGGGAGCTGCAGGGAGCTGTGGGAGGGGAGGCCACAGCACAGGAGCAAAGGCCAGGGGACAGTCCGAGTCCCAACCCTCCCCATGCAGGGGCCTGTACTGTTCCTACCAGCTGGCAGGGATCCCATACTGCACTGGAGGGGCAAATGCGGACCCAGGGAGGCACCGAAGGCATGGATCATTGTGTTGGCATTTCGGGATCACAGGCCCAGAGGAGCTAGGGGAGCTATGGCAGGGGGCAATTTGCTCATGGGTGAAGTACTGGGGTTCTTGTGAGGAGCAGATGAGCCAGGGTTTCCTCCTGCCGCCATGGCTTGGCCTGACCCCTCAACCCACAGTGAGCACAAGCATGGTATACCCATGGGACAGTGAACCTGGCCCGCAGAGTCTCAAACAGCATCTCTCCTTGACTTTTCAGAATCGAAGAAGGGAGTGCTGACCTGAGAAAACGAATGTCCCGGTTAGAAGAAGAACTGGACCAGGAAAAGAAAAAATACATCATGCTGGAAATAAAGCTGCGGAACTCTGAACGGGCGCGGGAGGATGCGGAGAGGAGGAACCAGCTGTTGCAGAGGGAAATGGAGGAGTTTTTTTCGACCCTAGGAAGCTTGACTGTTGGGGCAAAAGGTGCCAGGGCCCCAAAGTAAAAGGAATGGCAGAGCTCACTTCTGTACCACGTCTGCTGGTCTCCAGCCTTGTATGGAGTTAGAAGCGTCTGTATCTCTGGAGCAGCCAGGCGCTCTGGAGCCAGCTGGAGAGAGAGAGATCCTGATACCTCTGTGGGGACTGTGGGGACTTTTGGGACCCCACACACTCCAGGTGGGATCAGATGCTGCTCCAACCATGCAGTTCCTGGTGAGGGTCAGAAGGGGACGGTACCAAGAGTAGCGCTTAGCCCTTACCCAGGAAATATCCTTCATGGCCACAGAAATGGAGGGCGCCCAGGATCCAGGCAGCCACCGGGAACAGTCAGCTTTCTTTATTAAATGTGCTCACAAAGCATGGTGCCTTGTTACCTGGCTCATTTTTCATGCCTCGCAATACAGGACACAATACAGGACCACTCCTGTTTCTCCAAGGGCTAGGAGCCCCCTGAGGTATGCCCCTGGGTGGAATAGCACAGGCATTGTGAAGTGGGACGTGAAGCCCCCCAAGGGGCAACAGCCTTGTGCTTTCAGCTGTCTCGTCTGCATGTTCCAGGTGGGATGCCTTTCTTTACTCCCCCCCGCCCCGTAGCCATCTGGACCTCTGCAGCTAGTTTCTGTCTTGGGAGGTCCCCTGGGCTTTCCACCATGGCCCTAGCTCTGCTCCAGGGCCAGAGCCTGAGTGGGCACCCAGCACAGATGCTGTGCTTGGGCGAGGTGTGGGCAAGTGTGGCCACTCTACAGGAGGGCTGAGCCAAGGCCATGGGAAACGTCTGTTCACCGTACTCCAGGTGCCTATGCCTCACTCTGGGCGCCTGCCCAGCTCCCTTCCAGCCCCCGCTTCCCTGCTGTTCACCCCCCTACTCTGGCTTATCCACAGACTTGAAGGCTCCATTAGGGCAAATCCCTCCAGAAAGCCTTTCCCACCCACAGGGCACCCAGGCCAGGCCCAGCTGGAGCTCCTGGACTGTGCTTCAGGAGGCAGCACAGCAGCGCCTCTGGGACCAGCAGTGTCAGACCACTGTCTTCACCTGCTCCCCTCACGGTGTCCTGATGTGTGGCTGGCCCCTTGCTGCCCCTGAGCAGTAACCTGCAGGGGTTTGTTCAGGGAGCAGTGGTCACCAGAGCGCCCAGTTTCTGACCACAGCCTCTAGAAATGTCACTCAGGCCCAACGAGCTCCATCTAGAGTCAGGTATAAATGTTGCCCACATCTGATGCTTTAAATGCCAGGGGCTCAGTGCTCCCAGGAAATGCTGGCTTCCTGCCAGGAAGGCAGGCCCGCAGGGTGAGGCAGGCAGGGCAGCTCCCACAGTGTGGCCAGCTACCCATTGTCTCCAGGCAGCTACCAGGGGCTCGTCCACCAGGAGGCGGGCACCTGCTCAGGGCCCTCAGCAGCATCAAGGTCTGGATGCCGGAGCTCAGGAGGGGCTGGGGAGAGTGGCGTCTGTCTTTGCTCGGCCACTGACACGCGAGCCAGCCGTCTGGGTGATGGGATTTTTCCCTGGTGTTGAGATGCTACCCTCCCCTCTACTCAAGGAGAGAGAAGAGAATAGGAGGTGACTTTGAGTCCTCACAGCAATGCAGTGAAGTAGAAAATTGGCCCTATTATCCATATTCAGAGGAGAAACGGAGGCTTGGAGAAATTGGGTGGGAACAGCAGTGCGTCCTGATGACCCTGTTGAGTTTTCTCGCCACAGCTATGGAATTCTGCTGATTTTTGACCTGGAGAGAAAATGCCACCAGGCTATCAAAGGAGCAGAGGAGACTGAAATGGGTTTCCCATGATGAAAGGAAGCTTGTCTGTCTGTCTCAACCATTAATCCTGGCAAAGGCTTAGGCTCCTGCTGAGTCCCCAGTAGGGATAGGAGCTCATGAATGCCTGAGCCACATCTGCCACCTGTTGGCTAAGTAGGATCTGCAAATGGCATTCTTATCTCAAAATGAATTGGCATGATTATTCAGTTCTGTTCTCCAATCTCTGTGTAACCAGCACTGGGCATCTTATCTGTAAAACATCTGACTTGACTGTCAGGCACACTGAGTGACAGAGGCTGACCTGTCGCGGGGGCTCTAGTATCCCCACCACTACCCACTTCTCTCAATTGAGTTACATTTGCTGAACCTGGTCCCAAACTGACAGATTCCCATTGTACTTGTTATTGTAATTACATCATTTAATATGAAGTAGACTCATGAATTACATGAATTATGAACATGAAAAGGTAGGGAATTGATTCATCGAAACCCTAGAATGCTTTAGACAGACTCAGTAGAGGCACGTTGCTAAAAAATATTGTCAAATTAAGCATGGATGAGTGAAACATGCAATAGCGAGAAATGGGAAGAATCTGGGATTCTGCTCTCAGAATACTTCAACAGTGTCGTAAAACTTGTGTTTGACTTTAAAGAAATACTGGAAATTGTGAATGTCTCACTAAAAAAACAAAGAGTTGTCTTATGTTAAAAGAATAACAAATGAATGCACATGTTCTTTAAAGTTAAAATACAATTTTATGGGTATGTGTGTGTGAGAAACAGAAATAGAAAGAAAAGGAAGATTCCTTGTCTTAATTGGCTTTTGAGTGATGGACCAGGAATGAATCTTATTCCTGAAGGAATTTCGGAATGGAACCCATATATCCATGTTTCCCTGGTCTGTGGGTAAAAATGGAGTCAGTAACAACATTTCCCGGACTCTCTCCTTCTCCTTTTGATGCAGAACCCCAGGCCCCTGCAGAGCCCTCCCAGTATCCTAAGTAATTCTCTCACGGGTGTCTTGAGTTCCTAGCTAAGCAGCTGTGACATTGCCACACACTGCTGCTGTGTCTCCTTACTCCTGCCTCCACCAAGAACCCCCACTTGCACCAGGATTGCCATCCTTTTCTACCAGCCACATTGCTACTACTTCTGTCTCCCAAAGCAAGCCCCGCAACACTTGAGCACAGGGGTCTCACAATGTGTTGCAGTCTGTGAAGAAGTGGGGTAGGGTAGGATGGGGTCATGAAAAGCCTAGCAGGGGCCAGATACTCTGAGGGCCTATCGCCCATGGTGAGAGGTTATTTTTATTCTAAGGGAAATAGGAAAGCATTTGAGAGCTTTACATTAACTCACATGAATTGACTTCCATTTTGATAATGGAAGGGGAAAGAGAAAGCTTTTGAAAGATGGGAACTCTTGAGCATGTCTGTACACTGCTGCGAATGACCCAAATGACAGGGAGAGAGCTGCAGGCAGGTTCATAGGAATGCACAGCGGTCTTTGAGAAGTCCTGAAAAATGCCAAACATGATTACCTTACATAGCATCCCCCAGCTTTTGTGCAGGAGACGTTTTTATTCCCATAAAGCTTCTCAAGCAGAACACAGCAGTTTCCAAGCAAAGACTCCAGAGCCCGCCTGCCCAGATGCGCATCCTGCCCCTGCCGCATGTGACAAGCTGGCTTGATGACCCCACTCCAAGACAGCTAAATCTCTATGCTATCTGGGCATTGGGTCTTAACCCAATGGTTTCATAAATCCCAAGCCCCTGCACTCAGGCCACAGCTGGTTAAAAAGCTCACCAGTTTAGTAAACCAGCAGCAGCTGGCCCAAAATGCCTGGTAGAGACGTGTTTTTCTATAATTATTTCCTCTTTCCCTTCTTTCAGTGAGCTTTTGATAAATGTCTGTCCACTGTGGTAAAAGGAGACAAGGGGCAGGGTCTGTGGTAAAAGGAGACAAGGGACTGAGGAGTAGAGCACTTTTCTGGGCCCAGGCCTGGTGGTGGCTGTGGCAGTGGCCATGGGGATGGGGAGCCTCGGGGTCAGCACGTGGGTTCATTGGTTCAGCTGCACACTGGTGGTGGGTGGGGGTGGGCTTCAGGTTCTAGAATATCTTTTCCTTGTGACACATCAAATCGAGGGAAACAACAGCACTTGGTTCACATCAAACTCTTCTGGGTATGTTTGCCTAGAGACATAGCTGCCATGCCAGGAGACATGAGAGACAGATGCTTGACTTGACGAACCTGTACACCAGGGTGCTGAGCCGAGCCTGGTACCAGTCAGGATGATGGCGGCAGCCAGCACTCACCGAGCACTTGCCACCCCCTGCCCTGCATGCACACGCCAAATCCTCCCAGCAACACTGCCAGGTGACATTAGGCTTCCCACAGGACAGATGACAAAGCACAGCCCCAGAGTTGAGGCACTTGCAGGGAGTGAGGCAGCCAGTGAGGGCAGGATGCTATGTGGGTATTTGGCACCGGAGCCCATGCTCACATCACTATAATATCACAGCGCTGCATGCAGTGTACTCATGTCACACTTTGAGGGCCATGAATGTTGCATTTTCAGAGGACAGAAATGGTGTAAAGGATACGCTCTAGTCATTAGCTTACCCAGCCCACCATTTATGGAACACCTACTTGCCAGGCATTATCTCCAGTAGGACAGGCTCTTCCATCCAGGGGATCCCAGTGTGAGGCATCAAGAGAAGATGAGAACACAGGATGCTGTCAAGTAACAGTAAGAGGCATGGCTCAGCCAGATTGACACTTGTCCGAGGTGACCTAAATTCTCCATCTTGACAAAACTCACCTGGACCCGCAGGACCCAGTAGACCCCAACCTTTCCAGGACCCTGTCTCATAAAAACACATGTGCCTGGCCGGGCGCGGTGGCTCACGCCTGTAATCCCAGCACTTTGGGAGGCTGAGGTGGGTGGATCACGAGGTCAGGAGATTGAGACCATCCTGGCTAACATGGTGAAACCCTGTCTCTACTAAAAATACAAAAAAATTAGCCGGGTGTGGTGGCGGGCACCTGTAGTCCCAGCTACTTGGGAGGCTGAGGCAGGAGAATGGCATGAACCTGGGAGGCGGAGTTTGCAGTGAGCGGAGATCACGTCACTGCACTCCAGCCTGGGTGACAGAGCGAGACTCTGTCTCAAAAAAAAAAAAAAAAAATGCCTTTGGTTTCTCCCTTTGAACTCTTCTGATCCCTCAGTCTACCCCTCACTTCTCTCAAGACACTGTCATGATTTCTTCTTTACATTTCCATCCAAGTTTTCAGTCCTTTTCACTACCTGCTTCTCCACTCACTTGAACTAGGCCCCACTTGCACTTCTCTAGGTTAACTCTAAAGTGGTATATCCAACAGGAATCTTTCCACTATCTTCCTCTGTCCACAAAATGATACTAACAAAAATAGTGCAAGGGCCATACAAGCAAACAACACAGACCTCACAAGAAAAGAAACTACAATTAGAGAGGTCTACAGGCAGGTGAGGGAGCAAACCAATTGTTCCCTTCCTCCCACTCCTGGAGCGGTAAGTTGGAGTTGATACCATACCTGACATACATTCTGTCATGGACATTTCAAACTGAGATGTACAAATTGCAAAACACCCTGCATGTATTTTCCTTGCACCATCTCTTGTGTGCTGCCCAATCGCTAGGCTCAGCCTTCCCCCAGGTCCAAACGCTAAGCTTGGCGACTTCACCTATGTCATGGCAATACATCTAAATGAGTCCCTTTCTTCCCTTCTCTCAACTGGCTATCTTTGGCCATCAGTCACCAATGTCCACACCTCCAGCCTAACTGCACTTGCTTCTCTTGGCAGTGACCATCCTAAAACAAGGGTCAGGTCATAATACTTTTTTTCCGCCTCAGAAACTACCATGGGTTCCTATCACCTACAAAATAAAGGCAATTCTTGATATTTTCAGGTCTGATCCTCAGCTTGTTTCAATTCCAAACTCCAGCGTGTCAGTCTTCTCTCCCATTTCTCCCTGTACCTACACCCATGCCAGGCCGTTCCTCACTGCTTGCCCATGCACTCACTTAAATCTGCTTGCCTTTCCTTCAGCCTGGAATACTCTTCTCCAAACCTTCTTTATGCCAAGGGTCAAAACACAGTTTCTTTGTGAAACTCCTCTCATTTCCTCTAATCAATCCCTGTGGCCAGGTCCTTGTTCCTCCATATACACCATTTCAAGACTCTTGTCATCCGTTTTCTATTTCCTACTCCCAGCTTCTGGCACACTTCTATGTCACTTATATGCTTCCATTAATGGATGAAATTAAGTAAAGTACATGTTAGACAGAAACCTAAAATTTACAAAGCATATTTGAAGTATCTTTTGGTTTCAAATGAAGTCCAAAGAAATACTGGTATATAACCATTAACAGCTAAAAAAATTTTTCTTAAACCACAAAATCACTACAAATCAATCTTCACTTAGATCAAGTTAATAGACCTTTTCAGGAACAATACTGAAAAAGAAAAAAAAAAAGTACCTAAATTAACGAGGATGAATTATTCCACTTTACAACTGGTGAAAATGAAAAAAAGTAAAAACAAGTTTATTCCCAACATTCTGACACTTGCTTCTGCTACCGTTTCTCCTGGGAGGCCTCTCTATGACGGTGATGAAACAGCTCAGCTGCCACGCAGCTGATCCAGCAGCAGCGGGCAGCTAAAAGATCAGCCCCTTCCTCTCCGCTCCTCAGAGGAGGGCAGTGTGAGTTCAGGTGAGGGCAGACAGCACGGTACAAAGGTCATTTGGAGCAGGAACTGTGCAAGACGGAGTGGCGTCATTACAGTGGCTGGGAAGGTACTGCAGGGACCCTGTATTCCCACACAGCAGCAGACCCAACGTAGGCAAAGAGGAAATAAGCATGGCAAAAGTTGGAAACAGTCAAAGCTAAAACCTCTTGCTTGTTTTGAAACAGACCCCAATTTTAAGTACTTATTTTTGCCAAGTGGTCACGATGGCTGTTCTCTCATATGTCTACCAAGAACTAGGTTAAGGGCATTGAAGCAAAGTTCCTTTTTTAGATAAAGTTTATCCAGCAATTTCAAACACCAGAAATCCAAGACCAGATCAACCAGATAATCAGCGTGATCATTTAGGCTCTTTACAATCTGTACAAAATCCAAATCTAAGAAACCGGCCCTAGCAAGACCCCTTTTATCCCAATCCACGGACAATCCTAAAATTGCCAAGAAAAACTTTACCACAAACAGATTTTGTTTTCAATGAAAAAACTCTTAATTTCATAATTTTCATACCACTTTTTTCTTTTTTATTTAAAATATTATAACCAATTGACATACTAGATAACATTGTTTACATTCCAGTGGTGCATGTTTAATGACTAGGGCATGAATGATGAAAAACCACAATAATGATCTCAGCATTCCCTAAAAAGTGCCCCATTTTGTTTTGTCTAGAGGAAAGGAGAGGGAACGGAACACAGGGAAGGAGAGGAATGGAGGAGGAATGACATCGCAGAGGGAGAAAAGCAAATGTCAGCTATCATACTCAGGTTTCCAGGTGTGACACCCTGCTGACCAGGATAAACTGTAATGAGAAAATAGATGTCACAGTCCAGGGAGACACGTAATTCAGTCTAACTTCATTATTCAGCTAAAAGATTAACAGCTTCTCAAAAATATACCAAATATTGGGCCTACAAAAGTAATTTATTTCTTCGTAAAATTTTTACTAAGATTTACTCCTTTTGTAAAATGTAAATGGACCGATATCACGAGCAGGTTTCTACTTACAAAAACAGTAATAATGTCAACGAGCACAATTTTGCAAGACATACAGTCAAAGATTTTACACGTGTCTCTTACTGATGTAAGGTATATACTTTACATACTTACTGGTATTGTGTCAACATTGGCTAGAAAGTATTTAACACACATTTATAATTCACTCAGTAAAGATCTAACAGGGCAACAGCTTACTTGGGAAAGCATAGAAAATTAGTGTGAGGTAGTTCAATAAAAACCTAGTTTAATTTGTAAGTCATTATGAGAATAGAACATTGTGCAAAATTAATCCACAGGTAATATTTCTCAAAAGTTTCAGTAACGAAGAGAATCTAAACTAGAAATGGCCAGAAAGTGTTACTGTTACTAGACTCTCCTTAAGAGCACTTAACGAAGAGCAGTCAGTTTGAAATTAGGACTTCTGTTTTCCTTACGAGTTTTCTAATCGTACCCCAAACTATACATTTCTGCTTCAATGCCCTTTACCTCTTCATCTTTCTTGCTATTAAGGAAAAATTAGTTTCCTTTGATTCCGTAAAAACCTAAGAGAGATCAGTAGAAACACAATGCACACAAAAATGCAACAGGATACGGAGAGGCAACATTTAAGAGGGCTGCTAATGACAGAATGGTGTTTGGTTTACCTACTGGTAAGAGAAGTTTACTGGTGTCATGGGGCTTCATGCATCCACTCTATAGCTAATGTGTAACTAATGAACAACACTCACAAACTACAACAGTATTTCTGAAAATATTCTATGTTCTAACCTCAAAATGTTGTGCAGGCGAATGCCTAGGCAACACTGAATAGTTAAGTCTTCATATGTTTAGCAGATACTGGCCAATAGTGTAAACCAAGTCTTATCTGTAACCAAGGAAAGAGCTTCACTTTCCTGCTGATGATTTCACTATCAGACACTGATGTCCTCTTCCCTCCATCTTTTAGACAACACAGCAGGATTAGCATAGAACAGAACAATGACAAGGCTGGCAGGATGCTTCTTTGCACACCATCAAGCTTCTTTGGATTGTTAAGGGGGTTGTGTGTAGGCTTCTGATTTAAGAGGCTGGTGTTTCTCTTAGAAGTCTGGCATGAACACACTGTGCCTTTACCAACTCGGAAGAGTGCACGTCAGGAACAATTAGCAGCCAAAGGTGCATGACACTGAAAACTGTTCAGCAAACACTATGACAGAGTTGAGATGCTCTATCTGCGTATAGTATAACTAAGTGATCCCAACAACACAATGGTTTTACAAATGGCCAGTATATATTAGAGGGAAGAGAATAGTAACCAGGAAGACATTGGTACAGAATTAGCATCTCTTTCTGAATCTATGAAGATAATAAAAATCTTGGTCAAAATAACTTTCTGATAGTAAGACAGTGAGTATATTAAGTATATAAAATTGAAAAATCAAAATTATAGAATAAGAAAGGTGGTTTCATACAAGTACTACCTGATAGAAATGTTATTTGTAACTTCTCTTCAAAAAAAAAATGTTTAAGATGCTTAAAGGATTCCAAAATAAAAAGAACCAACATATATTTAGCTTAACAAATTTAAGACGAAAACTGTATTTGGATGTAGTAATTTAAAACCTAGGGCATGCAACATTTAACAAAGAGACCTTGTTTTTAGGATATAATTTGTTAAGTATTTTAGTTTACACTAAGTAATGAGAGTTTGTTTTCTTTGAATTGAACTGAACATGATGGTTGGCAAGTGGCAGCTGGCATTTACAATAAATGATACAGACACACACCTGGTTTTCCTTACTTAACCAAAATCTGTATCAATAGAGATGGCTTATCAGCAATCAAACATAAAATATGAGAACCTTCTGAAAGCATGTCTGCTGTGAAAGTGCAACAGTGACATAATCTATGCTACAGAAAATACAGCTAATTGTGAAATTAATATAAACACACTCATTCTCAAATTTCTGCTGAAATTGTGAATCCAATATTTTCTGTCTACAATTCAAGAAGTGTCTTAGAACTCTAATTTGCCTAATCAAATTAATGCACCTTGTTGTATTAGAAAAGGGACTGATAAAAAGGCTGGGAAGCTGGAAATCATGACTCTAAGCCATCGAAAACAAACTTGCTACTTCAAAGTATATAAAAAAGCTAATGTATTTTAATCTTAAATATTGCACATTAACAGTGATGTAAAATATCTCACTCAAAAATAATTTTGCACTAAATATATGAATAAAATGCCAAGCAAATTTTCAGACATTGCATGTTGAGCCGCACCTGTTCTTGCTCCTGTTGGTCACAAATTCCAAGGGGCTTTCTGCCTAGAACCTTGTTGCTTATGTGAGTATGCATTTCCTAGTTCATTACATGAAATCCCTCTTGTTCCAGAGATAATTTAAAAGGTGCCTGGGTCTATTACAGACAACGTATTTCAGAAATAACGAGACTTCAAAGACATTTTACTTAGGAAAAGTTCAGTAATAGAGAAATAATTCTACAGATAGAAAATGTAAACAGTTAACATACACTTGTCAGGAGCAGCACCATTCTTAACACTACTCGACATCCACATTGCGTGTTATGTTGAAAATCAGGTATAAAAAAATAAAAGACTTAGACTAAATAACCACCATTTATGCCTGCTCTGCTCAATGTGAAGAAACAGTCCTTAGAAAATGATATCCTATATATGGCTGTGTGCTACTATTTTCAGATGAACGGTATATTGCTCATTTGATACATCACCTACACAAATCTAGGTAGGGTTTGGAACCTCCCAATAGCTCGTATAAATGATTATGCTACAAGTAGAATCAAATGAAACACCAGAACAACTGGTGCTCAACTGACAGACACTCCAAGTAATAGGAAACAGGAAAGGTCCAAGGACCCGAAGCTGCAGGAAAGGGAAAGACCAGACTCTAGAACATTGCTGGGACCTACAGCCTGAGTAGATTAACTCAGTGTATACAAAAACAGGCTCATAGCTAGTAGAAGTGAACCATCTGTTTATTTGCATTGAAATGTATTATTCATGAAGTATCCTCTTGCCTTTATGTGATCATAAACTTTGAGCATGCCACAAATTTGTAGAATACACCATATTCTTTTTACTTATTTTTGTTGGGTAGGGTGGGGACATAAGGTGGTGGTAGACGCCCAGCATCTTCAAAGACATGCTCTGAGTTATTCTGCCATTTAGATGACGGGGCTTTTGCCAAAATTAAGTAGGATTGCCTACCAATTCTTGTAACTAAATTAGGATTGGCAAGTAGCAAATATTGGAGGTCTCCTAACACGTTCATCATTTACAGTAGTTATTCCTGAATATAACTGGCTACAAGTTATTTTCCCTCACTCCTCTGGGGTTATTTCATTGATAAGCACATAACCCTGAAGGATAGTATCATGAACAAAACATCTGAAATAAATTCTAATTAAAAAAAACTATAAAAATCTTAAATAATTCATGATATAGGCAAGTCACCACATAATAGTTGCTTTGATAAACAAAATCTTACAAATTCAGTTAAAAAAATCAGCAGCATAAGATAAAGCAAATATGCAAAAAATTTAAACCATGATAAAATAATTAGGTTTACATTATACAGTTAATTACAGCAAAAAAAATACAATACAGTTTTGTTGCTGTTTTGAAACACAACTTAGGTTTTAAATTACATCACTTGAAATTAAAAAAAATAAACTACTTTACTACAAAATGAATTCTACATTTTTTGAAAAATCACCCAAAAATAAGACCACTGAATTGTTTTCAAAGTAGTTCTATCAATGACTAACCGACTCCCCATCCCTCCCACCCCCCGATGGCCCAAGTAGTCATCTACAGCAGCCCAGAGGCCCAGCTGCTGCTTCTAGACTGCTGTCTGTATCAGAGGCCAAAGTCGGATCTGTTGACATTGAAGACACATCATTGACAGACGACGATGATGATGGATGCTGAGAGCCATTGATCACTGCTGCACCTGTGCTATGAGAAACAAAACAGCAAATCAGTTGCAGACAGCTGCAGATCAAGCTACTTGCACTGCACTGACTGCCTCCAGTGGTAATTTTTTTCTCTTGGGTTTCGAAGGCTCACTAAAAATAATCGCAAATGATATCCAACACACTAACTTAAAAACACTCTTCATTGACAGCTATGAGGTGAGAATTCTGAAAATGTCTAGAATCGTGGAGTCCTATCCTTTCAATGAATGTGTTTTTCAGTTTAAGACAAGAATTTTACATCTGAACCACATTTAGAAATGGTCCTGCAGCAAGATCCATGAATGGGCTTCAGGGTATGTGTGAATACTGCTGATAATACATGCAAAACTGTCTGTAATGCCTTTTTTTGGACAGAGGATCTTAAAGGACTGTGTAACTACAAAAGTTAAAAGCTACTTCCCTACAAAAAAGTCTTTACAGCTTCTCACTAAAAAGGAAAAATTCAAATGATTCAAATTTGAAACAAGATGTACTTCTGGCACATCTTGTTTTAAAGCAAATGCCAAGACAAGGAATAAAATTAAGTTTAACAGGAAGAAACCTCAATTCAACTGCCCCACTTTACACGAGGTTATGGGACATGCCACTGTCACTCAAGTGGCCTAGTTAAGTAAACTTGGGTCTTCTTATTTCTACTCTAATACTTGATAAGCAGAAATATGGATTTATTAAATATAGTAAGAGCAAACAGTTTCCTTTGCCGAAAGTATTACCTAACAAGCATTTCCTGGATTTTAAAAAGTTAACAGGAATACCTGAGCTCGAGACAGAAATCCTCTCAAGGGGATTGGTTTAGGAAGGGGACAGGAATGACTTATGCTGGGGGATGAAGGATAGTTAAAGGTAACTCATGCACTAGGCTAAGTACTTCTGAACCACATGAACACTAAATAAGGGTCATTCCAAATTGGAATAATGCAAGTTACTTAAAAGTTCTCAAGAATACATTTATGAAATAAAATCAATGGTCTTCAAATGGAACACTGAGCAGAATTTCTGAGGGTGAGGTTCAGGCACCCAAAGATGCTGAAACCAAATGGGCTGAAAACCACTGCTCCTGAACCCAGCATCTGTATTTGAGATCATCCCTCCATTCTGTCCAGATGAGCAATGAAACACTTCAATATGAAAAGTCTTCTGTGAGCTTTTCTTCAAATGCAAAAAGAAAATAGGCAGTGTAGTGGGAATAGGAAAATCTTTAGGGAGGGGACTGGGATACAGAAAGGAATGGAACCACAAGAGACAAAGCATGTGATGGGAGCTGAAACGGAAGAGAAAAGCAGGATGAGCATTTCAGGCCTGAGAGATGAGAGGTAAAAGAGGTGATAATCTCCTAGACCCAAGAAAGGTCCATTAGCTTCCCAGTCAGAGTGAAATTCAGATAGTATATTCTATTTAGTTCAATCAATACTTGGAATGAGCCTTTTCTGACTGAACAGTATGGTATATCTGTGTACCATACATAGTACACAATGACTAGTTTCTAAGACTTGTACTGAAACATTCAAACCATAAAAGGGCTCCAACATATACAATTTTTATATATGCCTCTAGTTCAGGGTCTATTATTTTACCCAAATGTCTTAATCTGATAAAAATTGACTTTTAAATGCATTGTTAACTTTTTAATCTAAAAATCAAGTACCTAAGGGGAAAAAACACACACTTGTTTTCTCTTTAAAGCAATACAGTAAATTCTCAAATATCTGAATGGTAATAATATGGAAAATCTTTAGTCTCACATGGGTCATTCCTCTCTTAAGTGAGCCTCTATACACTCAAGGCAGGTAAACTTACTTTACTATTAGCCAAACCAAAACAAAGATAGGAAGGCACTCGACAGGGAAAAAGAATAAAATTCCTTTTAAAAATCAAGTGGAAATGGTACTGTGGTTATCTGGTATTTTGATTTACCAAACACTACTCCTTCTGTTTTAGTACAAAATCAAGAGCAGAATATTTTTATAACAGCTTAATTTGCTAATACTCGTCTTTGCAAGCTATAACTGAGGATCCAGAAAAAGTCTAGAAACCTCAATTTCTATCTTTTTCACTGACTTATTTTGTGATCATAAGCAAGTGCTGGACTAAGATTCAAATTATTCACTTACAAATTAAGAACAAATACAAATGCTCTAACTCATGAAATTATTACATTTACTCAAACATCTGGCACTCCAGCTGTGCCACTCACTTGGATAGTATGCTAAAGTATAAAACTGTCCCACATAATGAACTTTTCAAATCCCACCTGAGCCTCCATCATGAACAATTGTTACTACTACTACTATATAGCAATACAAAGCTAATTAATTACACAAAGCATTTATAATAGAGCTTTAAATTTGTTATAAGTAAATTGTAGAGAAAAGGCCATTTCCAAAATAGGTAAAAGCGGTCAAAACCAATTCATATATTCAACAGGATCTACACTATAATCTGGAAGATTGCATTCTTGATCAAAGATTTAAAATATACAACTCTAAAATATATAACCAAAAATGTCAAAGCAAGCCACAAAAAATGGCTTAAACAATTATGTTTATAGTATACAATGTCGCTATAGTTTAAAAAACCTTACCCATATACAAGATGCTAGATACAACATCTATTTTTTTCCTCAAAAGTAGAAGTTTCTGAGGAATTAAAATGGCATAGTTTTACTTCAAAATCAAGATCTTTTGAAATACTACTCACTCTTTAAGGCTCAGCTCAAATTTCACCTCCTTCATACAACTGTCCTAACCTCTGTAGCCAGAGAAGTCTCTGTTGCCAGCCAGATAACAAAATGGGAGGCTGAAAAAACCACACACTCTGAAGTTACTGTATTAGTTCATCTACATAATAGATTTGGAATCTTATGTTACTTCAAATTTCTGAACTTTAGTTTCCTCATCCATAACATGTGTGCAATAATCCTATACCTTAGGATCTTAGGGGCTGAATGAAATAAAGTATATAAACCACTAGTGTCTGTTATGTGGTATGTACTTAGTGTACATGTTACCTGCCATTTAACTTTTCCCCTCTATTCTTTATACTTTTACTTGTACTAACATTAAATATAAGATCAGCTTATGATAAAAAAAAGTTTTAACTCCTACAAACCCAGTTTTCTTCTTAGAGAAAGAATACTTTCTAGTGATGGTTTTAATGTTATTGCCTTCATTCAACAAATCAATAATATCAAAAAGAGAAAGACAGCAATTTGGTATTACATGTACTAAATTTTGCAGTGAAGCTTTTATTTATCCAAAGTAAAGACTGTCAAGATCATAGAAAGGTATGTATATTGAATTTTGAGAAGTTTCCTCTTTAAAGACCCAGCAACAATGCCAACAAAAAGTTTTTAAATTTCTGTTCTTCAGAATGTCAGTATCATAGAAAAAGATGTGCATCTTATGAACAGTTACTGATATATTAGTATAATGTATTAGTAGAAAAAACAAAACTGTATTTCCTTATACTTATTAAGCCTGGAATAATAATGATTTTGTAAATATGGGAAGAACTGCAGGTTTCAGGCCACTGAAGATTACAACACAAGAAGTAAACTGTAATCTTAACCAAGCTTATATTGTAACCAACCTAAAGGAGAGGGCTGCCCCCGTATAACTCCATTCTTGGTTCTCTCCTCCAAGTCCATAACTTCCTTATATATCAATTCTGTAAAAGAAGTAAACAAAAATGAACTTTTCAAAGTCTAAGAGCCAATCTCACAACGCATGTATGGTTTAAGTGGAAATTTTTATACATGTGAAGTACTTCAAACAGTGTCCTTACAATGACAGTCAGTTAAATGTCGGCCTAAGATTCAAGGATGTTAATTAATAACAATTCCTTGACACTCAACAATGGATCATATTAAAAGGAAGTACTAATCTTTCCTGTAATTCACTGTTTCTGAAGTTGGTTTGATAGTGCTGGGGTAGAAGCTTTCTTTTTCACTCTACCAGCAACTTGTGCTACAGCACATCATACCACATACCATTCTGTACTACCATCTGTCTCAGGGAGGGCTTGAACCACGTGTCTTACTGACTTCCATTTCCTGGGCCCTGGAATAGAGCCTGGTGCACTGTGGGTACTCAACTAGATATATGCTACCAAGATTTAAATTAGAGTGTGCAAAAGCTTCACAACAAATCAGAATGAAAGATAAACACATTTTTATTGGAGGAAAACTAGCAGGTAAGCTACATTTCAACTCCTTATGAGTAAGCATGGTTATCACTTCGAAGAACATTTCTCCATGGGAATCTTTTTCTCTTATCAGGCTTCTGGACAGCAAGTAGACCACTGCAACAACTGTTCCAACTGAAGAGACACACTGGGAGCTGCTCTGCTGGTATTAATATATGCGCCTCCTGTCTTATATTCTTCACTTATATTATCATCAGAAGTGATTCTGATGTTAACTGCGATGTGCCTTGTGAGTCTGAATGTCTACTTAAGAAGAACCTTCGGCCATGTGTGGTGGCTCATGCCTGTAATCCCAGCACTTTGGGAGGCCGAGGTGGGTGGATCACCTGAGGTCAGGAATTTGAGACAAGCCTGACCAACAAGGTGAAACCCCATTTCTACTAAAAACACAAAAATTAGCCGGGCTTGGGGGCAGGCGCCTGCAGTCCCAGCTACTCGGGAGGCTGAGACAGGAGAATTGCTTGAACCTGGGAGGCAGAGGTTGCAGTGAGCTGAGATTGCGCCACTGCTCTCCAGCCTGGGCAACGGAGCAAGGCTCCATCTCAACAACAAAAAAACAAAAACAAACAAAAAACCTTCTTAAGGTTCTTAATGTCTACTTAAGGTTCTTAAGTAGACATTCAGACTCACAGGGCACACCACACTTAACCTTAATGGTGGATGCCACATCAACACTATTTATCATCTTCTTTGGGTCATGGAATCTTTTGAGAATTGTATAAAAGTAGTGAACCCTCTTCTGAGAAAAATGTACAAACAAAAAATATTGCATCGAATTTCAAGGAGTCTGTGTTAATTCCTGAAGAATAAAATTCTGATAAAGAATCCCTGATTACAGAGTATGACATTTATATTGGTAATAAGGTAAAACAAATGAATATGTTGGAATGAACAACAACTGGAGATAAGTTTGTTTGCTATAGTAACTTAAGGCTTGGAAGGAGAAAAATAGAAAGCACTGATAAAGGAGAGAATAAGAGATGGTTTTCTTCAAAGAAACAAAAAGGAATGATAAACATTTGCAGTAAGAGGATTTTTTAAGAGAGAAAATAGCACTCCTCTGGGAAAAAGCACAAAGGGATTAAGGCAGAAGAACCAAAACTAATTAGGAGCACTAACTAGGCAAAGCCATCTGTAATTAATGGCTTTGGCAATTAATCTTTCTTTCTGCTATGCGCTAAAACTCTTAAGTAGATCTTGAAAAAGGCAGTCTGTGGGTAATTACTGACATGCACCTGGGGCTAGGAGTAAAGGATACAGAATAAAGGTAAATGTTTTTAAAGCAATCAAAACCCCCAAATATATCCTTATACAAATGAAAACACTGTATCTCACTGATTTTAAGATGTACTTTTTTCACAGTTTAATCTCTGAAATTGACTATATCTTATAACCAATGGTGCTGTACAACCGAAGGTGTTTTTTTCTTTGTGGCACATAATGGTGTGCCTTACAACTGCTGGCCTATTAAGAGTCTATGACCTGGACAACACAGTGAGACCCCATCTCTACAAAATTTTTTTTTAAAAATTAGGCTGGGCGCAGTGGCTTAAGACTTATAATCCCAGCACTTTGGGAGGCTGAGGCAGGAGGATCACTTAAGCCCAGAAGTTTGAAACCAGCCTGGGCAACACAGTGAGACCCTGTCTCAAAAAAAAAAAACAAAATTAGCCAAGTGCAGTGGATCACACCTGTGATCCCAGCTACGGGGGAGGCTGAGGCAGCAGGATCACTTGAGCTCAGGAGTTTTGATGCTGCAGTGAGCCATGATCATACCACTGCACTCTAGCCTGGGGGACACAGTGAGACCCTGTCTCAAAAAAACAAACAAACAAAAAAAACAACCAAAAAAACCACAAGATTCTACAAAATACTTCATCGTCTACTGTAAATTAGTAGGATGTAAAAATATTAGGTTAATGTTTTCATACATACTCAGTACAGAGCTATATCTTTATACATATTCAAATGCACATTACATATTCAAATGCAGCAGACTCTATCCAATTTTATCATTTTGTCATTCTTCTAACTTTATCACGGGCTCTGCTAACCATGGGTTTCCCAAAGTTCAGAGAAAACCAATCTCTAAATCTCTTCAATTTCTAAGAAAGAATCAAATTCATGCTTAGCAAAATACATTTATAGATGGGTCACTTATTCATGTTTATACCTCCCCAGTCCCCTTTCCTTTCCCAGGATTTAGAGACAACTCTTAATAACAGGTCTTCTGCCTCTATTTTAAGATGAGGTAAAATGCAGGGGGCAGTGTAGGAGGGTGAGATGAAGGGGGAGTGATTTACTCAAAGTCACGCAGTTACAAAAGTGGTCAAAACACTGAAGGACAATAACACAAATGGAAGTAAACGGGACCTAAAAATTACCTGACCCACATGTCCCAGGGCACCTTTTGAAGAAATATTTGAAAACTTCCATGACTATCAAAGCATGATTAATTTCAGCCACATTCATAAAATAGAATAAAACTACATTAGATTTACAAATATTAAAAATTAACCCATTCTGTAGGCAAGGGTGAGGGCAAAGAGAGACTCCTATATAACATGGACGGAAGTGTACACTACTACCATTTCTTTGGAGAGTAATTTGGAAATAACTGAAAAATATCTTTGGCTCAGAACATCTCCTTCCAGGATTTTTCTTCCAGGCATGTTCTCATATGTGAACATGAATATTGCAGAGTTGTTTCTAACAGCAACAGACTGGACACAATTTAAATGGTCACCAAGAGGGAGATGGATATATAAAGTGTGACATATTCATACAGCAGAACACTAACCAGTTATTAAAGCAAGAGAGGCAGATACGTGAACTAAAAGAGAATAACCTTCCAGATATCTGATTATATCAACAAAGCACTCACGCCTATAATCCCAGCACTTTGGGAGGCCGAGGCGGGTGGATCACGAGGTCAGGAGATCGAGACCATCCTGGCTAACATGGTGAAACCCTGTCTCTACTAAAAATACAAAAAAATTAGCCGGGTGTGATGGCAGGCGCCTGTAGTCCCAGCTACTCAGGAGGCTGAGGCAGGAGAATGGCGTGAACCCGGGAGGCAGAGCTTGCAGTGAGCCGAGATCACACCACTGCACTCCAGCCTGGGTGACAGAGCGAGACTCCAACTCAAAAAAATATATAATAAATAAACAAAGCAAGTACATATAGCATACACCGTACACAACCATACGTGATTTTAAAAGGGTGGAAGAGGAGAGGTGGGAGACACTAAACACATTTGTGTATTCACAAACCATGGAAAAAAATATGAGACAGAGCACTAATGTGTCTGTGTCTGGGGTGGGAAACTTGGGAACTTAAGATTAAGTTAAGGAAGGAAGCAGACTTACTTTCTACTTATGTAAAAATATTAATATTACCACATTTCGGTTATGCATATTAAAGTCACAAATTTCTCTAACATGATAATAAATCACCATATAAAAACCAGAAGCTCCTTCACAGTTTTCCCTCTAAGAATCTGACGAATGTACCTTTCCACTCTTCTATTGTGTGTTCCCTTTCATCTAACTGCTTGTCAGGGATCTTTGGTGGTGGCTGAAAAACACAAGGCAATAATAACCAAGTCAGTATGCTGGGAGTATTTTAACTCTGTAGTTATTTGAAATATTAGCCACACAGATGACTTATAAAAATATATCATTAGATCAAGACTGATCAATCATCAACTTACTTATACAGACATAATAGTTTAGGAAGACTCCTTCATTGCAGGAAATAAAATGTTTAACTGTCTTTTTTCTTTTCTTCTAGCTCTTGAAATTGCCACATTTTATTTATATCACAGATCACAGAATTCTGTTTTCCTTTGGATACAGTAATTTGTTTTATACCTGAGTTAGGATGTTCCCCCAGAGCATTCAACATCCTAGTTCTCTGGTTAGGTATCCAGGCAAGATTGCAAAAAACAGTGGGAGGTAACTTTATTTTGTGTAGGAGGGGCTCGAATATGTTCATTAGTTTATTTGACGTAGTCTTCATGAAGAAACAGAAAAACATCATCATCATGTATCTACATTTTTATTTAAAATTAAAAGGTCTCCTCCAAACCTAACTGTCATTCTAACTCTAAGAATGCAATATGTTCTGTAAACATTAAGAAAATAACTTACAGCTTCTGCTTCAGAAGGATCATACCAGACATTGATGTACGGGTGTTGGAGAGCTTCATCTACAGAGATCCTTTTAGATGCATCTATTACCAGCATTTTGGATAACAAATCCCTTGCCTGACTGGCTGCAAACATAATGGTGTTAATGTACATATATTTGTAAAGATTCTCAAATTATTAATAACTTTCAGCAATTTGAGATTTTTTAAAAAGCATATGTTTTAAAAATATTACTGTAAAATTATCTTATACATATGATTAAAATATATAAGATTAAAGAAAAAAAAAACAAAAACCTCATTTTTTTCCCCACCATCCAGAGAAAACCTTGGGTTCATGTCCCATAAGAATATGAATACATATAAACACACAAACCCATACACACACACTACACACCCCAAATGGGATTAAATGTACATATTTGTAAAAAGTACCTTTAAGTTTGTTGTGTTCTGAGTCAGCTGGGAAAAGGACATCAGGGAAGAGTTTCTCAAAGCTATATCCAGCATATTTAGGTCTGTTTTCAACGTAAGTCCTTACTGTTGGTTGCAGTTTCTTCATGAATTCAGGACATGGTGTTCCAAGCTGTTCAATAACTTTATTCCACTGATCAATATCTAATATCAAGTAGCTAAGAAAAATACTCCATAACTAATGTTCAATACATTAGTCATATTCATATTACAAGAAAATAGAAATTTAAAAATTCCTAAGAAAGGATGTGGCAGTTATAAATTTTATATCTCACAGGCACCCTGCAAAAGGCAATGATTGTAGGTGGACAGAAATGATCAATAAATAAGCTTTATTAACCTTATTTATTGTGTGTTCAAACTAACTGATTTTACCTTAAAATGGAAGCTTAAACTCACAAATTCTAAATAAAATGATAAGCAACTAAGAATAATGACAATTACTATCCATAGTGGCTCTAACTGCAAACTGCACACAATGCTATAATAATATACAAAATTTTTCCTTTTCTGTCAATTTATCAGAAAACATGATTATATCTCCTAGACAATATTTCTAGAACACATCCTGTTTTACTGAGTTTTCTACACTAACAGAAAATAATCAGTTGTAATAAAAATAAAGGCTTCGATAAAAGTGGCATTTTCTTTTGCCATTCTTTGTTTAGCTTAGGTTTAAAAAAATTTTCTAAAGCTCTGACCCTTATAAAAAAGATTCAGTTTTTTGCTAAGTTGTAAGGTTAGGATTTCTTGGTCTCCTTTCCTCTAGTCTTTACACTCCAGGACCCTGAAGGCCAAGGCCTAAAACTCACTTATTGTAACCTTGTGAATATGCCTTTTCCCATTCTTCCTCCTGAAACAATTCTAAGTGTTACTAGCTGGTAAACACATAACAAATCACTGTTAATATAAATATTAAAAGTAGTGGGATGAACAAAAAGTATGAATCCAAAGCTATCGTTACCATACAAAACTACTACTGCTGAAATTCTCAGATGAAAGGGTCAGTATGTTATGTGAGTAATGAGACAACAATCAAAAGACACAAACCACACAGAACATTAACAAAAAGGAGGTAGGGGACAAAACAAAAGGATGGCCAGAAGCAACAGACAGCTCCAAAATTCATATTAAGTTGTACGTATTTCTAGACTTAAGTGTATAATTATTATAAATTTTTAATGCAAGCCATGATTTTTGATTTAGGTTAAATCAACTCAAAGCCAGCAAGTAATTGTGCATAATTACAATTGAGCAGGGTTCAGAATTAACATATGAAACAATAAATAACGGAAGGAAAAGTCTATGTCAAATAGTAGGTGGTATTTTAAGAGTAATTTAACAATATATTAGGGAGAGACAAAATACATTATACCTGACCAAACTGAAGTGCTATCATACATTTTGACCTTTAGAAACTACATTTTAGGCCAAAGATAAGGATACGATCTGTACCTGGGAACAAAACACCACCTTTGATCATTTCTCCCATGATGCACCCAACTGACCAAATGTCAACTGAAAACAAAATGCAATGACATTAACATAAAGATTTTGGTTAAAATAAAAAAAAAAAGAAAGAAATAAAATCACACACACCATGTATACTTTAAAATTATAAAAAGCAGTATAAAATAAAAATGAGTGACAGTGAATGTGCTCTGACTACCAGCAGAGACTGTATGTCCTACTGCCAGATGCAGCCTACAAATATTTCAGCTTCTTATCTCAACAATTTTTGAACTATAATAGCCACAAACTTTATGCCTGTTTAAAAACCCATCTGTGTAAATGTAGCATATTCATTTTCATTAGAGAACATAAAGAAGTTCATCGCCTAACTAATTAACTGCTGCAGCAGCACAAGGATACAGTCCCTTCCTGGAAAGAGGATTTTGTGGCAAACCATTTCTCCCATAATGCACCCCACAGACCATAAATCCACTATATGTTTGCAGCACAAAAGAAGGAAAAGCAAAGCAAAAGGTCATTAAAATCAAAGAAGCATAATATGACTGCATTATATAAAAACTGCAAAACGTCACGAAAAGAAAAAAAGTGATTGTAACTTTAGCTAACGGAATAATTTAAAACACAAATTATTTTTTGAAAGTCTGGTTCACAAAAGAAAATGTAAAGTGTGGCATTTTAACTACATATCTAATTTCAAAGTGAGAGCTATGCACAGAAATTGCATAAATAGAAAAACCCTGCATGTTTGTCCCTGAGAACTTGTTTATAAAATATGAAATAGAACCAAACACAAACTTTGTAAATAAAAATGTACATGAGGTAGTAAAATTATAAAAATAAAATTGTTATACTATACTATTTAGAAGTTCAACTGTGCATTATACTCTCTAAGAAAAAAGCATGAGAAAATAATTCAGCATATTAAAATATCTAACAGAAATAATCTCTATGAATAATTATGATAAAAAAGTTAATCTAAAGCTCTTTGGAATTTTTAAACTGGATTTCCCAAATACATTTAACTGAGAAGTGCTATGCTTGTTCTGAATTAAAAGTCCATTTGTTTTCTTGGCAACATCATGCTACATTTACCCTACTATCCCAAAAGGAACAAGTGCACAGAGAATGAACAACTAATCAAGGAAAACTTAGTAAGAGAAATGTATTTCATGTTTCCTACCTAAAGTTTTTTAAACCCATAAAACCAAACTGCTTTTGGCTTAAGAAGTTAGTTTTGGCTAGATACAGTAAGTCAGTTCCCACGAATTGAGTATGAAGAGTCTCCTGGAAGACTTACTGATGACCCTTGCCAACTGTAAATGGGAATCCCAATCAATGTTGACAAGAATCTGCTAGACACAGAAACAGACAATTTGGAATCTCCACTTACTAAGGGAAACTGACAACACATCGTGGCATTTTATGCCTTTGGGTTTGAACATCACACAAAAAGGAGAGAGTAAGTGCTTGCAGTGTAACAGGAAAAGAGGGAAGAATGAGCAATTTAGAAGGAAAAGCCTTAGAAACTTGCATTTAGTTGTGACATCTGAAGGTCCCAATTCTTTAAAATGACAAGTGGAAAACGGCACAAATAGATGTCAGAAAGACACGTGCCCTTTACTCATGTTAAAGGACTTAGAAAATTAAAGCCTGTACTTTCTAATACAGTACATTCTTATTAAAAGGCTGCCAGTTCACTGAAGAGTCTTAAGAGCTAAACTGGAAATTACTTTTGGAAATACTGTGGAACTAAAGTTTCCCTAAAATGTCATATTAAAATGAATGAATATTTTCATATTTATGTCATGGTTCAGCTTTCAAGGATAAGATTTTAGAAAAAAAATTTAATATTTATAAATTAGTGCCTCAGAGAAAAATTTTTTCTAAGGTTTCCGTTTTTGACAAAAATCTATTAGAATAAATCTTCTCTACAGATTTTATAGAGAATGTTAAACTTTAAATATCCAGCTTACAACTTATTTGGTAACTTTCAGAAAAGCTCATTTTTAAACAAAAGTATTTTGAAAGCTGCAAGCATGAGAGAAGATATTATCTGGGCCAGTGAAGACTAGGAACATAAGTCTGATTCATGCACAACTCTAGCTGTAAACTAACTGCTTAGTCTATTAAGCAGTTAAAAATATATTGATTACACTGCTTTCCAAAATGCTCTGAGTAGCCTGCAATAAAAGGTACATAAAGCAAAGTTGTTAAAATGGGTGGGAGGCCAGGCGTTGTGGCTCAAACTCCTGTAATCCCAGCACTTTGGGAGGCTGAGGCAGGTGGATCACCTAAGGTCAGGAGTTCAAGACCAGCCTGGCCAACATAATGAGACCCTGTCTCTACTAAAAATACAAAAATTAGCCAGGCATGGTGGCACATGCCTATAGTCCCAGCTACTCGTAGGCTGAAGCAGGAGAATGGCTTGAAGCCAGGAGGTGGAGGCTGCAGTGAGCCAAGATGGCATGACTGTACTCCAGCCTGGGCAACAGAGTGAGACTCCATCTCAAAAATAAATAAATAAATAAATAAATAAATAAATAAATAAATAAGATAAATAAAATGAGTGTGAGGTGTCATTAAAAGGAGGAAGTACTTATGTTTAACCTTGCTGGCTAATGTAGTTATAATCATTAAGCATTACATTTGACTCCGTTTCCTAGGGTGGGAGTGGGAAGGCAAGAAGGTGATCTACATAATTCTTAACTAAAGAGGAACCATATGTCAGTTCATTTTTTATTCTATTTTATTTTTTGAGACAGAGTCTTGCTTTGTCGCCCAGGCTGGAATGCAGTGGTGCAATCTCGGCTCACTGTAACCTCCACCTCCCGGGTTCAAGCGATTCTCATGCCTCACCTCCAGAATAGCTGGGATTACAGGTGTGCACCACCACACCTGACTAATTTCTGTACTTTCAGTAGAGACAGGGTTTTGCCATGTTGCTCAGGCTGGTCTAGAACTCCTAGCCTCGAGTGATCCACGAGCCTCGGCCTCCCAAAGTGCTGGGATTACAGGTGTAAGCGACCATACCCAGCCTCAATTCTATATATGACAGTTTTTCTTAGTGCTAATTTCTGGCAGGGAGCTATCCTAAGATCATATTTATAGGACACTGACACATAACACCATATCTATGACAATCAATTACAGCAAATGCAAAAGCAATCTTCATGCTGGTGGGTCACGTGAAGTTATCAATTCCCAAAAAATAAAAAACTTCAAATTTCAGGTAGAGTGTAAGTAAAAAGAACAGCATATTTACTTAAGAATAAAAAATTAATAGCAAATGTTTAAAGTATTTGTTTTTAATCAGCTCAGAAAATCAAGCTCAGCTTAATTGTATCTTTTATAAAAAAAGAATCTTAAAAGTTGACTTATTACAATTTCCTGATTCAAAATGAACTGCTATTCCAGATTCCTTGCCAGAAAAAATGTCTAGGTTTTATTCTTGGTAGTATTTTGGATGAAGTCACCACATTTTTTAAAACGATGGTTTATTTCCATAAAATCCCATGCTTCTTAGCAGATTTATTCATCTCCTAAATTTCTAAGACTCAACAAAATTTCTTCCTAAATTAAATATAAGTAGGTATATGCATACAAAATGTTTAAATTCATGATCTACATGCCAGATAATTTTGTTCAACACTGATTCTTAGGTTGATTGATACAACTGGATATACCCATACAAAATACTAAAAGTCATTTCCTTAAGGCTGGATACAACGTTTTAATGAAACTTTACTGCTTCCTTCAAGAGGTCACCTTAATTATCCATCAGCTTTGCAGAGGCCTTAATGTATCTCTTAAAATTTACAATGAGTGCTACTGCTATGAGCTTTAGTTTCATGGGGTTGGAAATATAGGCAAATATCACTGATGTACACTAATAATAAACTGTCAGTACACTATACATCCCTGAGACCATGTTAGAAATGTTCATTTTCAAGTTATAGGCAAGCAAAGAGCATAAATTCTGTCTCAGGGCCACGGCAACAAATTCTTCATCCAATGGTAGTACTGATGTTATGTATCCGTATTTAAACAAATAAGGGCCCCAAGTTTTTCCAAACATTGATGAAAAAATTTATAGTTACCTGCAAACTTTTGATACACATTTCAAACAATGATACACATTTAACTCAACGTACTTCTGCTTAAGTATTTACATTAAAAATCTACTGAATAAAGAAAAAAGCTAAATCAGAAAAATATTTCAAATAAATGTGTGTGCTGACCGTTTTCCTTGTAGCCCATGCCAAGGATGACCTCGGGTGCTCTGTAGTAGCGAGTCACTACATAAGGCGTCATCATAAAACTCGTTCCTGCAGTCCTGGCCAGACCGAAGTCAAGAATCTTCAAAGTGCAATCAGATTTTACTACTATATTACTGGGCTTTAAGTCCTTCAGAAAATAAAAATTAAAAAATGACTGCCATGATATATAGGAAAATCCTACAGTTCACAATAAAGTTATACTATCCCTTGCAAAACATTCATGTTAATTGTTCGTTTTTCTCACTGTAATATTACTGCACTGATTCATCGTTAAAAGGCAAACCTGAGAAGTCAGTTTTATGGGATTTAAAATTTATGAATACATACAGTTATTAGAGAAGTTAGTAATGTTTTAATTGCTAGAAATTATGATTAGCTAGACATTTTTGGTTAGAGTAAAAGGGATTTGAAAAGACATCGCAAAGCTCACATAAAAAAACTACTATAGTAAAAGAAAGTCATAAGTTAGCATTTATATTCATTTGCATAACATATTACCAATATTTTTAAAATCTCATTTTAAAGTCACAATAAGCTTTATACAGATGTTTTAAGTCAACAACGAGCCATCTTGTCAATCCTAACAAATGTTATTTGATCTTTTAGACTGGCAGATACCCAGTTCCAAAGGACTAGAAGAGTCATTATCCATTTTTCCATCCCTGATTTCCCACCTGAAGTCACACAAATTTGCTATAAAATTTCTGTCTGTTTGTAGAAGTAGGACACCATTGCCTTGGTGCCACTAATCTATAAAATTACTTGCTATAGATACTACTGAATAATTCAGAATTTTTCACCTGGCCCCTACTTTAACATATTCTGTGCTGTGCCCATCAAAAGTCAGGCAGCAGCATAAACACTCATGGCTTCATGTTTAACATACTTTGCCTGTTAGCTTTGATGAATACTATTATAAGCCAAAGGACCAAAAAACGAAGAAAGCATAAATCCACAACACAAATGCACTGTATTACCTGTACTGACATGCAGTATACATATTAAATATCACCGATTAATACAAAAAAGGAAAATAGCCTGCTTGAAAGACAACTATTACTTTTGTATTACTTTTGTAATGTTAACATACAGAAAAGCATGTATGTTGTCTTTAACATATTTCGACAGGCAATCATGGATGGGTTTAGAAGATATGTAATCTAGTGGTTTTATGAAATTAAATATACCAACAATTCAAAGGTCTTAATGAAACAGAAGAAAAAAATTTTCATTATTGGTATTCTGTAAATATAATGTTGCTAATACTTCTAAAATACAGTACCTCAGCAAAGAAACACTGCATGTTTAAGAATAAATATTACAAGCTTTGATACTACTTCAATGTTTAGTGTGATGGTTGAAGGTTACTGGCTCTTTATACTAGCAGATTCCAATTTAGAAATAACATTCCAATTTCAAGCACTTCATTGTGAAAAAATTAAGAGCAAAGTAACAATTTTTAAAGACAGATATTTTTGTTAAGCAAAAAAATTGTCAAAAAAAGCCTCAAAGACTATTAATTGAAATTCATCCATATATATCAATATGTACCTTACAGCTGTTAATTACACTGCTAACTATATATAAGAATAGCAACTTAGAATTTATGCAGGCAGTGGAACTAACCCAACATTCTGTCTTCTTCCCCCAATTTTTCTAGCTTCCTCAGTTAGGCAAGGGCACGTGGGTAGTTCTAGTTCATGGGATGTGAGTGGAAGTAAAGAAGAGAAGGGCCAGTGCACAACTTCCTGTCATCTCCTGCCCTGCTTTGGTGATTAGGAACTTTCCAGAGGATTCTCTGGCAGCCTGGGTTGCTGATCATCTATGTAAACGCACAGTCCACAAACCCACCATGATCTGCACCACACATTCAGCAAAGGAAATAAGCCTGAGTCGTGCTAAGCCACTGAGAATTAAGGGTTTATCTGTTATTCAGTACAGCTGAGTCTATTCTAACACTGAAACTGGTGTCAGAGGTGGGGTGTTAATTATTATAAAAACATAAGATCCTGGCTTAGCAGTTGAGCAGCAGGGAAACTCACATCGAAGGCTGGAAAGGTGATCTAGGTTACGTAGTAACAAAACATTTCATGAAGCTGTCACCTGCACAGCCACTTGTACAATGAACCTGAAGCTCTAGCACAGGGGCTGGCAAATTAAGGCCTGCCTGCTTTGTAAAGAAAGTGCTGATACTGAAACACAGTCATGCTCATTCAAGTACAGATCACCTATGGCTGCTTTTGTGTTACAATGGCAGAGTCTTGTAGCTGTGACGCAGACTATTATCCACAAAGCCTAAAATATTTACTACATGGCTTTGACAGAAAAAGTTTGTTGAACCCTGCTCTAGAAAAGACTGGAAAGCAAAACTTCAGTAGTTTGTGTTGGTAGCTACTGGTTGCATTTAAAAGAAGTAGCCACCTTTTAAAGCAGAAATAAAAGGGAACAGAGCCTAGAATTTCAGGGTCTTGCCATTTTGGAAAAGCTAAATGCTACTAGACCCCTGGAAGAAAGTATGGTAGATTGTTCTGCAAATATTCCTGCTCACCCCAGACTGTGTCCTCACCCTATCGATAGGTTCAGTCACTTGTCTTATTTTGTCCAATGGAATATGGGGGAATGTGTTTGACTCAGCATAGCTCTTGCTCTTCTACCTTTCACCATGAGAAAAGGATGTCTCTGGTGTATGCTTCAGTTTAGATGCTGAAACCTGAATATGGGACAAGCCTGAACTTGACCCACAGTTTGGAGCAGTGTCACACAGCCAACCCTGCAGACCCAAGTAAACAATAAATATTGCCTTAAGCCACTGATATCTTGGGTTGGTTTCTATGCATCATTTTCACATAATAATTATGAAACCCTTTCAGGGAAAAAGTCCTGTAAAATTTTCAATTGATAAATTTGCCTCAGTCTGCCAACAGAAGCTTGAAAGCTTACAGGAAGACTGAAGACAGCCTCAATTAAGTCCAAGAATACAGGACCCATGAGCTAAAAAAGATACTATGAAAGGAACTACAATCAGAAAGATAAGAAATCTCTTAAATTTCTGAAAGAGTTAGTTAACTGTCAGACCTAACGCCAAAGGTCTATGATCCTTCTACACTTCAAACAGGAGTTCTCAATTCACAGTAATTTTGCCCCAAAATAATATTTGGCAATGTCAGAAAACATTTTTGATTGTCACAACTGGGGAGTGCTACTGGCATCTAGTGGGTAGAGGCCAGGAATGCTACTAAACATTCCATCATCAAAAGAAAGAACTGTTTGCTCCAAAATGTCAATAGTGGCAAGGCTGAGAAGGATGGCCTTAAAATGACCCTTGGGCCCCAATCTTTTATAGGTAAGAAGCAGGCTGAGAAAGGTGAGCAGCCCTCAAGGAAAATACATTCTTCAATATCCACTTTAGATATATTCATGAGGATAGCAAAAAGATGACTCTCCCACAGGGTAGAGCCAGGTACTATAGAGAACCACAGAGATCAGTCAGGAGGACTGATTAGGAATATTCCCCACCCACGGCAAGGGACACTCACAATGTCTGTACAGAAGAATTTAATTACAACTAACCAATGACTGCATTTTTCAGTTTTCTAAATGGGATTGTTCACTGTGATAACACTGGCCCTGTCTGACCACTCCATCTATGGTATTTGGCAGGGGAGCAGTGGTTATAGGGTTGGCCATATAATTTGGTCATTCCAGTTCCTATGTTTCTGGACCAAGAGGAACAATGCCTGGATTTGATAAATGTCTTGATGGAATAGAACTTTGGGTTATTTCCCTTAAGAAGGTGTGGAATAAAGGGAGCAAAGGAATGTTTGCCAGCCAGAAGAACAGACTGTGGCAGAGGCTGGGGCTCACCACTATGCTGAAGTCTGCTCTCCCCACATTTCCGAGTTTCCTTACAAATTAAGCAAGTCTATGGCTAGCTTTGTCAATGCACTCTAAGCAGAAGTCATGTGTGTCACTTCCAAGCAAAGAAGAGCCATCCATGCACATCACTTGGCTTTCTCTTTCCGACAAAGTGACCCGCAACTATCTAGATGGTGGGACCTCGTCAGCTTTGGTCTCACAGTAGCAATCCTGACTTGCCCTGAACCCCCAAGGGATGAAAGGTCAGGTTATTTTACCAAGTAAGTAACCTCAGACTAGCAGAAGTACTAGCCAAGGGTGGAGGTGAATCTAGAATAAGTAGTAGAGCAGAGAGATGAGTACCAATCGTGGCCTCAAGACCACCTGCAAAAAACTTAAATGCGTATCCCCACTCTAGAGTTTCCCAAAGAGCCCAAGCCAAGATAAAGGGAGATTCTTCATAATAGATAACAGACCCCAGTAGATCTCATTAGCTCCACTTTATCACATTAAGAAATTTTCTACAGATGTACTTCATTTTTACCACTTTATGTACTGATACTAAGGGAGTAAGTTAGAATATCCCAATACAACTGTGCTTGTGCCATTCTTCTATTTTCTACAGTTTAAGCTTTTTGTATAGCAACCCTACTTCATGTATAATTGTGTATCCTAATTGGATAGTATCTTTCACCTTGAAAACGCGAGACTCTTTATTCTCAGAGAGGAACACTTCCTCTCTGACCCCACCATATTCAACTTTATCTCATTAAATAGAGTTACCCTTGTTTTAATGTTTGCATTTTCCTGGTATATGTCTGCCAACCTCTCTGCCTTCAGCCTTTTGAAGTTAGCTACGAATGTTTGTGTTATGGAAATACGCAGTTGTTGTTGAGCCTTGTGTGCTGCCAAAATCTGACCTTTTTAAATTAAGGAACTAATCCGATTAACATATTACCATAAATATTGCTCTTTTGTAATTTTGTGTTTGTTTTTTGTGGTTCTTGTTGTTTCCATTGTTTTCTATCTTCTACCATTTGGTCTGTTTTTCTGGTCCAGCCACCTGCTATCCTCATTAATCTGGAACCTTTCTATTTGGAGGGGTGTGCTTTACTAAAATCAAATGAACTTCCACAATGTTGGATTACTGCCCCGGTCTAAGGACTCAGGAAACAAACAACCCAAACCTAGAAGTTTCACTCGTCTGCTCTACTTCACATACTGTATGAGTAGGGGCTCAGGAAGATAAAATACTCTCCCATTTAAAGAGATTTTTATTATGTTATTTAAAGATTGCATTAGACAAATGATTAGAGCAGCTGTATATGTAATATACAAGGAATTCACTTACAATGATAATTAAGGATAAGCCTGTAGCAGGATTGTTCACTTAAAAAAAAAGCCCCAATAGCCCTAAGACATAATTGTCTTATACTGTGAAAACTCTCTCTGTATTTATTTTATTACATGAGTAAGGTTATTTGACGCAGATGACTCAGAAGGAAGATGTAATTCCACTGAATTAAATAATTTTTAAAAATTCCAGGCTGGGCATGATGGCTCATGCCTGTGATCCCAGCACTTTGGGAGGTCAAGGCAGCTGGATTGCTTGAAGCCAGGAATACAAGACCAGCCTGGGCAATATGGCAAGACCCCGTCTCTACAAAAAAATAAAAAATAAAAATTTGCCAGGCATGGTGGTACATGTCCATAGTCTTAGCTACTTGGGAGGCTGAAGTGGGATGATCACTGAGCCCAGGAGGTAAAGGCTGCAGTAAGCCATGTTCATGCTACTGCACTCATGCCTGGGTGACAGACAGAGACCCTGTCTCAAAAAAAAAAAAAAAAAAAAAAAAAATTCTTTTCAACCTATTGAACCCAGGAGTTCAAGGCTGCAAGTGAACTATGATTACGCCACTGCATCCTGGCCTGAGTGACAGAGGAAGATTCTGTCTCTCAGGAAAAAAAAAAAAAAAAATCCTCTCAATACTTTTCAAAGAATAAGCTAGATTTAACTAAAATACAAAACATACCAACACACAAAAAAATTTTACATAAATGTTCATGTCAGCATTACCTGTAATAGTCAGTGGTAACAACCCAAATTATAATCAAGTGATAAATGGATAAACAATATATCTATACAGTGAAATATTTGTCAATAAAATGACAAGAAGAACTGACACACAATAAATACATGAATGAACCTTGAAAAGATTATGCTAGGTAAAATAAGCCAAGCACAAAATATCACATATTATATAATTCTATGTACATGAAATGTCCAGAATAGACAAATATACAAAGACAGAAAGTAGATTAGTGTTTGCTTAGGGCTAGAGGTGAAAGGAACACAGAAGAATGGGAAATAAAGATGAGTGGATGTGGAGTTTCTTTTAGGGCAATAGAATTTTCTAAAGTTAAGATTGTGGTAACGAGCATACAATCTTCAAATATAATAAACACTGAGTGGTACACGTTAAATGAATAAATTGTATGGCATGTAAATTATATAGCAAAAAAGCAGGTAAAAATCCCAGAGAACAAAAATATAAAATATTTCTGAATATATATATATATATATATATATATATATATATATATATATATAACAATTCTGGCAAATACTCAATTTTGGTAACTTGGTAATATTCAATTCCCAATTTGGAATGACTGGTAATAACAGCAGTTTATTTTGTATACTGCTTCACTTCAGAGCAAAAACAAACTTTACATTGCTCCATATAAATCAGTGAAATACAGTGATACTAAGAATTTGATGAGAGGCAGTGATGTCAGCCAAAATAGCTCCACAGAAGCACCATAAAACATCAAAGTGTCAGAATAAACTTTTTCAGAATTCTGGAAATTATTCAAAGGTTTACGGCAATCAAGTGAACTCAGAACCAAGAAAATGGCAACTTAAAAACAGGAAACCACCTCACACCCTTTAGGATGGTTACTATGAAAAAAATAAAAGTGTTGGTAAGAATGAGGAATAACTGAAACCCTTCTGCACTACTGGTGGGAATGTAAAATGGTACAGCTGCTATGGAAAACAGTGTGGCAGTTTCTCAAAATGTTAAAAAGAATGACCATGTGATCCGGCAATTCCACTTCTGGCTGTAGCCCAAATGAACTGAAAAGTAGGGTCTCAAAGAGATATTTGGACAACCATGTTCATAGCAGCATTTTTCAAAAGAGCTAAATGTGGAACCAACCCAATTGCCACTGACTGATGAATGGATAAGCAAGTATGGTATATACATAAATGGAATATTATTCAGCCTTGAAAAGGAAGAAAATTCTGACATATGCTACAACATGGATAAACCTTGAGCACATTATGCTAAGTGAAATAAGCCAGTTGCAAGGAGGCAAATACTGCATGATTCCGCTTATATGAGGTATTTATAGTAGCCAAAATCATATAGACATAAAATAGAATGATGTCTGTCGGGGGTTGCGGGGAGAGGAGAATAGGGAATTACTGTCTGGTGGGTGGAGAGTTGCATCTTCACAAGATGAAAAGAATTCTGGAGATGGATGGTGGTGATGGTTGCACATTATGAATGTATTTAATGCCACAGAACTGTAGATTTAATGGTTAAAATGGCACATTTTATATGTATTTACTACAATAAAAAGGTGGGGAAAAAACATTGGGAAATATTTCCAGCATTTTAACTAGTCTTTGGCTCTACCTGCCTCCCTAACTAGCAAAGGATTTTGAAGAAAGCAGCCACATTTTCAGTGTGGGACCCTGGTCCAAGGTTAGACAGAGGCATTCCTTGAAAACATGGTTAAGGCAAGTAAATAGCCCAATGCTGCCTGGGACAAAACATTAAAGTGGAGGAGAAAACAAGACATGGCATACCATTAAGCATATCAACTTTGCATAATGGGAGTTCCAAAAGGAGAAGAAAGAGAAAAATGAGCAGAAAAAATATTTAAGAAAATAATGACTGAAAATTTGCTAAATTTGATAAAAGATATGAATCTATTTTTTCTTTTTAGCTTCCTTCCATCCTGATCAAAAAAGACATGAATCTACATATCCAAGCTGCTGAATGAATACTAAGATGGATAAACATAAAGAGATCTGCACTAAGACACATAATCAAACTGTTGAAAGCGAAAGACAAAAAGGCATCTTGAGAGCAGCAAGAGAGGTGCATTTGTCACTTATAAAAGATCCTCAATGAGCTTAACAGCTGATTTATCACTGGAAGCCATGGCAAAACAAATAGCAATGGATGATACATCTAAAGTGCTGAAAGAGGCCAGGTGGGGTGGTTCACGCCTGTAATCCCAGCACTCTGGGAGGCCAAGGCGGGCAGATCACTTGAGGTCAGGGGTTCGAGACCAGCCTGACCAACATGGTGAAACTCTGTCTCTACTAAAAATACAAAATATTAACCAGGCGTGGGGGCAGGCCCCTGTAATCCCAGCTACTTGGGAGGCTGCGGCAGGAGAATTGTTTGAACCCAGGAGGTAGAGGTTGCAGTGAGCTGAGAATGGAGAAGACAAGACAAGACAAATGGGAGGGGAGGGGAGGGGAGGGGAAGAGAGGAGAGGGTGGAGAAAGGAAGGAAGGGGAAGGGAGGGGGGAAGGGAGGGAAGGAGAGAAAAGAAAGAAAAGAAAAAAGAAGAGAAGGAAGGAAATGGTAAGACATCCTATGTTTGTGAATTGGAAGACTAAATATTGTTACGATGGCAAAACTACCTAAGCAATCTACAGATGCAATGAAATACTAATTAGAATTCTAATTGCCCTTTCTGCAGAAATAGAATGATACTCAAATTCATATGGCATCACAAAGGGCTCTGAAAAGCTAAAACAATATTGTAAAAGAATAAAGCTGGAGAATTGATACTTCTCCATTTCAAGTTACTACGAAGCTAAAAGTGATCAAAATAATGTGGTACTAGTATAATACATGGTCAGGCACATAGGAGCTATGTGAAACAGAACTGAGAGTCCAAAAATGAAACCATGTATCTATGACCAACTGTTTTTTGACAGGGGTGCCAAGACCATTCAATGGGTTAAGAGTAGTCTCTAACAAATGGTGCTGGCACAACTAAATTGCCACATACAAAAGAATGAAGTTGGAACCTTACCTCATACCAGACAAAAAATTAACTCAAAATAGATCAAAGACCTACATGTGAGACTTAAACTATAAAACTCTTAGAAGAGCCCATAAGACTAAATCTTCATGACCATGGGTTTGACAATGGATTCTTATACATGATACCAAAAGCACAAGTGATGAAATAAACAATTGTATTTCATTAAAATTATAGTTTTTGTGCATTAAAGGAAATCATCAGCAAAGTGAACAGACAACCTACAGAATGGGAGAAAATATTTACAAATTATATACCTGATAAAGGTTTCATGTATGAAATACATAAAGAAATGCTAAAACAACAACAAAAAGACAAACAACCCAATTTAAAAATGAGCAAAGGGCTTGAATACACATTTCTCCAAAGAAGATACACAAATGGCCACAAGCACATGAAAAATGCCCAACATTATTAGTCGTTAGGGAGATGCAAAGTAAAATCACAAGAAACACCACTTCGTACCCATTAGGATGGCTAGAATTTAAAAAGTCAGATAACAAGTACTGACAAGGATGTGAAGAAACTGGAACCCGCATACACTGCTAGTGGGAATGTAAAATAGTGCAGTCACTGTGCAGTTTGATGGTTCCTCAGAAAGTTAACTATAGAATCACCATATGACTCAGCACTTCCAGTCACAGGTATATCCTAAAGGACTGAAAATATATATTCAAACAAATATTTGTGCTTGAATTTTCATAGCACGATCCATAATAGCTGAAAGGTAGAAATAACCCAAATGTCCATCGATGGATGAATGGATGAACGAAATATGGTATATAGAATATTATTCAGTCATAAAAAGGAATGAACTATTGATACACGGTAAACATGGAGAAATCTTGAAAACATCACGCCGTATTTCATATAAATGGAAACATAAAGGCAAATCTATAGACACAGAAAGCAGACTGGTATCATGCCAGGGCAAAGATGCACAACTGCTTAAGAAACATGGAGACTTTTTTGGGGGTAATGAAAATATTTTAGAATTTAATATGGGTGGTAGTTGTACAGCACTGTGAATGTACTAAAAATGCCACTTTAGAATGGTTAATTTTGTTACATGAATTTCACCTCAATGAGAAAACAAAGAGTATGACGATAGTTTCTTCTACTAACCCGATGAATAATTCCAGCAGAATGAAGGTGCTTGATTCCACACAGCATCTGATAGAGAAGGTAGGACATTCTTTCATGATCTAGCTCCATCTGAATCACTTGGCAAAGATTTGCATCCATGAGCTCCATGACTATGTAACTTTATGAGTGAAAAAAGAGAACAGCTAAAGTGTCCAGCAGCAATCTAAGAAAAATGTACTAACTTAACAAAATTTTAATTATTACACTTACACATCTTGAAATTCTTCTAGGGATTTCTGTGGTGTGAAAACATTCAAAAGGCCAATTATCTATAATAAAAGTCGAGAGACAGAAAAATTAGAAATTACTTCATAATATTTTAATTTGGGAACTACAAATACATGAGTTAAAAAAAACTACCATCAGTTTAAAATCTTTCTTTACATTCTAAGCTCAAGTTAATTGCTTTCATTTTATATATTGCAACTTTATGGGCAGGAGTTGGAGGAGGGGATGGATAGGTGGAGGCACAGAGTATCTGTAACCCATTTATCTGTAATTCCATTTATGAACAGTCAATTATCAAGCACTTACATTATACAAACCTCTACATAATTTATCAGCAAATCTTAAATCCCTTCTACCAGTTCTTTTCCAATTCAGTATCTCTATATAATCTCAGCCCTTTCCTCCCTTGGTTTTTCATAATACTGCACTTGCCCAGTTTTCTTCATTCCCAGTCTATTTCACTGGTTCATCCATAAGCATATCCCTTCTCACACTATTGTGTTTAACCCATTTCTTTTCACTTTTTGCATGGACATCTCACAAAATAAGGTAACACTGAATTCATTTTCATTCCTACCCAAACCCCTTACTTTTCCAGTGTGCCCTCTCTTTTACAAAAGAAGGCTCAGGGTGATTTTTAACTCCTTTTTCAGTATATGCACCATAATAAATACTCATAGAATGCTGTCCATTCTACTGTCAATCTGACCTTCAATCTCTTTTTTCCATTCCCTGTGCTATAAACAGCTTGAAGACTAACATCTAGACTGTTCATGCTGTAATTCCTTCTAACACTAGTGTTACAGATTGATTGTCCCTCACACACACACCCCACACAATTCATATGTTTAACTCCTAGCACCCAATGTGATAGTATTTGGAAATGGGGCCTTTGGAAGGTAATAAGGGTTAGATTAGGTCATGAGAGTGGGGCGCTCATAATGGAATTAGTGGCCTAAAACAAGGGAAGACGAAAAGAGCAATTTTTCTCTCCCTCTCCTTGAGCACACACTGAAGAAAGGCAAATGAGGACAAGGTGAAAAGTTGGCCACCTCCAAGTCAGGAAGCAGGCCCTCATCAAGAATCAAATTGACCAGCAACTTGATCTTGAACTTCCCAGCCTACAGAATTGTGAGAAATAAATCTCTGTTGTTTAAGACACCCAGTGTACAGTATTTTGTTATGGTGGCCTGAGCTGATTAAGGGTCACTAACGATGGTTTTCTACAAATCCAGCTACCATTTACTGCCTATAATATGGTAAAAGAAAGACCTGATCATATTACTTACCTCCTCAAAAATTTAAAGCCAACAAATATATTCTGAAACTCCCTTGCAGTATATTCAAAAGCCTCCATGATATGCCATCAACTCACTTCATCTCCTGCTAAGTCCTATATTACACTTCATACTTTAGCTATGCTAGTTTTAAGAATGTCATTTTTAAAATGTTTTGATGCTTTTAAACATACTATTCCCTATGCTTGTCATTTATCTACTCAACTTAATTATCTTCCAGGTGAACCTCTTTTGTAGATTCTGACAACTCCTAGTTCTTGACAGAGTTGACTATTCTCTCTACTTTGTCCCCAGTTATCTTCTAATGTTGTTATGGTATTCAGCACACTGTAATCTAGTCTCATTTTCACATCAGCCTCATCCCTACCACAGAGAATCCTTATTAGAAACAACTGTGTCTTAATCACTTTTACTGCCTAGTATATGGCAAGTTACATGACACACATATAAAAATGTTTGCTGACGATGATACTTGGGGATGGGAATTTGTTTTTTAGGCATAAACTTTATAAGGGCAGAATTGATGTTTTTCTTTTAAGCATTCAGCTTTACATAAGGTATTTAAATATTTGTTCAGTGAATAAATTCGGAAAAATAATACACCAGAAAGGGCCAAACAAATTTAAGAGAGGGAAATGATAATAAGAAAGCATCTGGCTGCTCTAAATAAGTTCAAGTCTACCAACCGCATGCAATGCACAATAGGAGACTTGGACAAATACTAAATCTATTCTCATTAATATCTGGGAAGCCCTAGAGTAGAAGAGAGGTATTAAATATTAAAGGCATATAGAGACAGAAAGAAGATTGATTAGTGGTTGTTTAGAACTGAGAAGGATGGGAGGTAGGGGAATGACAGCTAAAGGATAAAAGATTTCTTTCTTTTATCCTGAGGTGATAAAATTATTCTAGAACTGACTGTAGTGATGGTCCCACATATCACTGAATATACTAAAAACCACTGAATGGTATACTTCAAATGGGTGAATTGCATGACACAGAAATTATATTTCAATAAAGCTGTTATAAAAGAGATTCAAACAGATAGTTGTCCCATTTTTCAAAAAGGGAAATAAAGGAAATTATATCAGTTATAGACTGGACAGCCAAGCAAAAGTCAATGATTAGTAGTGGTATATAACTACTTCAAAAGAAGTAACAATTACCAAGAGCAGGTAAAAGTTCATTGAGAAATACTATTTCCTTCCATGAATAAAAACAACAAAGAACAATAGCAATAAATCAGAAAAATGCAACCAGACACAGTATATGAAGATTTCAAAATGGCATTTTACAAAATGTTTCTAATAATAACATCCATGTGAATAAGATGATGAATTGGAAACAGCTGGATAACTGTGATAGTTAGACACGTAATTTCTGCAATATGCTCAAAAGTTGCTAATGAATTAATCCAGCTATTACAAAGATATCCTGAGCAAAACTGGGAAGTGAAGCCCACAAGTGAAAAGTCAGAACAAGGAAGAAAAAAGCAATCACAGCAATCACTAGTAGACCAGGAAGAGCAACCACATTTCACCTTTGAAATTTAATAGGGAGAAACATGAAGTACTATACTTAATTCTCCATAATCAAAAGAAAAAATATAAAGACTGGGTGAGATGGGAACTGTAAGGCAGGCCTGTAACAAAGAAAGACAACGGGAGTCAGATGGGGACGAAATTTCTAAACAGGGTTTTAATGTCTACAGTTAAGAGATGACATGCCTCAGCTCCTCTCAGAGGATTTGATCAGACGTGCAGTACTGTGTGCTAGGTGGCTTATGCAGTAGTGTGTGCTAGGTCACTTTCAAAGTGTGTTCAGAGATAAACGGCCAAGATTAAAAAAGAAACTCAAGACCATCTATGAAAAGAATGAGAAAAACCAGAGATGCTTAGACCAGTGAAGAGACAATCTGTACAGAGGATGAAATTGTTTAAAAGGCAAAACACTACAAAAACATCCATCCATGGGTGAGTGGAATAATTCAGTTACCATTTCCAGTTTTCCCATATTTAGCTTTATACTCACTCACTGAACAAATATATTCTGAGTACCTACTCTTGTCCACACTCTTCTAGGTGCTGAGAGTTCTGCCTGGATAAACCTCTGCCACCCCTGCTAGAGGCCTAATCATGTGAGACATGCTTAGTCATACTCCATGCAGTTGAAGGAACCACCTTTCTTTGCAGTCACCCAGGCTTGAGAGGTAGGATTAACTGAACTCCTCCCCAAGGAAAAACTAAGGCAACACCACCACTGCCATGGAACTGCGTTCACAGGCCACAAGGGGCACGAGCAGCTCTATCCATGGACAGGATGCCACCAGCAAAACTGTGATGAGCAACACATCAAGTTCCCGCTTGGAACAAGAATGGCTACCACAACTTCCTCCCTATTATTATCTAAGTTTAATCTTTGTCTCTGGACCTTTTTTACGTCATTCTTCCTCTCTGAAGGCTCCTTTCCTTCAACAATCCAATTTTTACCCCATCTTTAAGAGTCAGCCTAGGTCTACTCCTCCCCAAAGCCTTCCCAGTTAATTAAAGCTCACAGAAATCGTCCCTCTTTTTAGATTTCAATATATGGGCCACCATCATCATTTGACAAACGGCCACTGCTTTGTGATGTTTGATATTTAACTCTCTGTATGTCTGTTTTGTATTCAAAACACCATTGTAAGCTCCCCAAATAAAGGGCCTAATCCTGAACTTCCATGATTTTTTTTTCCCTTGATAATGAACCCAGTAACTCCAATACACAGAGGCCTGCACATATTTAGATCTCAAAATGTGGTAAATTGTATTATCTGTAGTCAGAAGGTACTGTGCTCATTATATTATATAAACTCTTTTGGACAAACACTACGAAATGTCTTTAGTCAGATGCCTTCGGTTTAGGACTGCCTAAAAGTGTCCCTTACACAATTCACTCCTAGTTTATTTCCTCAACTGAAGAAATCATTCCATTAGAACAATCACAAAAGTATGAATAAGCTTAATGTAAGTTTAAAAAAGTATAACTGTTTATTCTCAAAATGAGTGCAACTTATATATCTTTATAAAGACTTATCTTTGCAATCATTAGAAAATAGAATTAGAAACATGTTAATACCCTCTAGATAGTTTCAAACACTTTCTGCTAAACCCACTATCCTCATCATAAAGTGATCAGTGAATACTGCCATCACTTAAAGAGGTGGGAGTGGGGTAGGGAGAAGTGATATAAATTTTATATTCAATATGATTAAAGTCAGAGTGTCAAAGCATAATGGGAACAATTTCATCTCTGTGCTAATGCTACAGTTTTCTAAATGTCAGCCTGACGGAGAACAAAAAGCAGAAGATGAGATCAAGCTGAATAAAATTCTTCTCAAACGCTTATCTTTTTAAAACTCCTTTTGTAAATTAAATGACAGGAAATCATATAATCTAAATTTTAGAAGCCATTCTTCTGATACAATTTAATAAAGTTGAGGAAAATCACCCTGTAGATATATATATATATATATATATCCCTTTTAAACAATGTTTTAATACAGAACAATTTAAAGCCCCTAATATTTAGTCTTTGATATTCACATATTCATGAATAAATCTTGATTTCATCTATACTTAGGAAACCAAAAATGTTCACTTACATTTTTGTGATTAACACATTTCATAAGAACTAGCTCTCTGTAGGCCCGCTTGGCATGAGTCTGATTCTGAAATGGTCGGCTTAGCTTCTTGATTGCAACATTTCTTTCAAGAATGGCATCATAAGCTGCGCTGTAATAAGAAATTCAAAAACACACAAAAAAACTTCAAGCAAAAATCTGTAAACTGAATTCATGAAACAGTCATATACATTTCTCACTTTCTCCAAAGACAAGTAACTGGATCCCTTCCAAGTCTATGACGCTCAACATGTGTCTTCTATATCTATTACAACATATATTTTTTTGCAACTATTTCCTAAAATGCTAATGGATCCAAATAGACAGTGGACTATGCCAACAGAGACCCTGCATGTTCGTTGTGTTGCCTCAAAGATCCACCTAGTACATCGTGGGCACTCAATGTACAAATCCATAATTATTTAGCTCCACTAGATAGCCTAAAGCCTAAATAAATCCTTAACCTTGTACTTCCATCAAGAAAAGGTAGGATAAAGAATGCATACGAGGCTGGGTGCAGTGGCTCACGCCTGTAATCCCAGCACTTTGGGAGGTCAAGGTGGGTGGATCATGAGGTCAGGAGATCGAGACCATCCTGGCCAACACAGTGAAACTCCGCCTCTACTAAAATACAAAAAAATTAGCTGGGTGTGATGGTGCACACCTGTAGTCCCAGCTACTTGAGAGGCTAAGGCAAGGGAATCACTTGAACCTGGGAGGCGGAAGTTGCAGTGAGCCAAGATCGCACCACCGCACTCCAGCCTGGTAGACTCCCTCAAAAAAAAAAAAAGCATATAAATTCTACTCAAAAGATTTGCTGAATAATTCTATGTAAACACATTACTTCTATCCTTTTGGACACAATAAAATAAATACAGAAGGGCCAGGCGCAGTGGCTCACGCCTGTAATCCCAGCACTTTGGGAGGCCGAGGCGGGTAGATCACGAGATCAGGAGATCGAGACCATCCCGGCTAACATGGTGAAACCCTGTCTCTACTAAAAATACACACACACACACACACACACACACACACACACACACACAAATTAGCCGGGCGTGGTGGCAGGCACCTGTAGCCCCAGCTACTCCGGAGGCTGAGGCGGGAGAATGGCGTGAACCCGGGAGGCGGAGCTTGCAGTGAGCCAAGATCACGCCACTGCACTCTAGCCTGGGCGACAGAGTGAGACTCTGTCTCAAAAAAAAACAAAAAAACAAAAAAACAAAAAACAAAAAACAAAATCTGAACAGAGAGCTGGCTTTCAGAATCCTAATACTGACTATATAATATGATTTTCTTTAAATTTAATTTATGGTTGGTTAAATGTGGTTGGTTACAATGAGAACAGGCCAGTCAAAACGGCTTACAAAATGACTCCAACTTCTATAATTTTTGATATTGTAAATTACTTCAAGAATGCAGGAAAGATAATAAATGCCATTCTATTATGCAAATTTATTAAATCTTAATACGTTACCATAATTGCTCTGATTTTTTTTTTTTTTTTAGACGGAGTCTCACTCTATCACCCAGGCTGGAGTGCAGTGACACCATCTCAGCTCACCACAACCTCCACCTCCCGGGTTCAAGCTATTCTCCTGCCTCCGCCTCCCAAGTAGCTGGGATTACAGGCATGTGCCACCATGCCCAGCTAATTTTTGTATTTTGAGTACAGACAGGGTTTCACCATGTTGGCCAGGCTGGTCTTGAACTCCTGACCTCATGATCCACCCACCTCGGCCTCCCAAAGTGCGGGGATTATAGGCGTGAGCCACCGCGCCCGGCTTGCTCTGAATTTTTTAGAAAGAAATATAATATTATAGGTCAAACCTCCTTTCTTTTCTCTATTTTCTCAGAGATAAACAACATCCTAAGTTTGGTATTTATGCATGTTTTAATCTTTTGTACATATATATAATCCATAAATATATGGTACTGCTTTGCATATTTTAAGCTACATGTAAATGGTATAATGATGTATATATATATTCTACATCTTGCTTTGAAGCCCAGCACTACATTTCTGAGGTTATCCTTGTTGACACATATGGCTCCAGTTCGTTTAAAATGTTATATAGTATTTCACAGCATGACTGTATCACAATTTTTTATTCTTCTGTTGATAGATTTGATGCTATTTCCAATTTTTGCTGTTATAAATGGTGCTGCAAACACCAATCCTATGCATGACTCCCTGTGCACATGTAAAACAGTTTTTTTAGAACCTAGGAGAAATACTGGATTATAAATACTTAACAGTTTACATTTTGTTTAGAATAGATTCTGAAATTTGTTTCAAGAAGAGGTAATAAAAATATAATTATTCTTGAGTGAGGCTTATAATTCCCCAAAACACTAGTTTATTATTATGCTAATTTAGTGATCTGCAATCAGTATCAGAACTATCCCAAAGAGTGATCTGCATTTCAGTTTATAAAGAATTATGCTGATATAGCCTGAGGCTTTTGTAGAAATTAGCTAATAAATCAATTTTAAACATATGGATGAATTTTGAAACACACACAGTGAGATATTAGCTGACTTCATTCCCCAGTATAGAATAAGATTTCTGAAATTCCACGCTTCATTATAGTGTGAAAGTGATGACTAAGTGAAGCTTCTTATTAAACAATTATCTATGGGAATACATGTATACATGAAATTAACAAGCATGCCACTTATTCTTTGCTGATAGAGATATTTGTCTTCAATGGCTATGCCCAAGTATTTAATCATAGTTTATACTTAAAGATGGCAGTGCTAGTTTATAGAGTTGTATCTTATGAATAATACAGGTTATTATCCCAAATCTGAAAATATGAAATCTAAAATGCTCGAGAATCTAAATTTTGGGGGCACTGACATGATGCTCAAAGGAAATGTTCACTGAAGTATTTCTGATTTGAATTTGGAATGCTCAACCAATGCAAATATTCCAAAATCTGACACTTCTGGTCCTAAGCATTTCAGATAAGGGATACTCAACCTTTAATAATAATAATAAAGAAAAGACCATTGATCCTGAAGCAAACAATTTACTGTGGAATAGTTTTCGTTTAATTTTTAGTTTTAATTTAATTTTTCAAAGCAAGTTAAATATTTGCCAAGGTATCTAAATTACGAGAGGAGAAAAGGTAGCAGTTAATGATTCTTTGCCTAATTTTTGGAAGTAAACACTTACCATACTATTCCTTGAGCTCCTGAGCCTATAGGTTTTAAATTCTGATATCGTTTCAGGACTGTGAATGTAGAATCTCCAATCTCTACACTATAAAAATTGTTGTCACGCTTGCTTCTGCTCATGATGGCAAGCAATTAATTTAATGGCTTCATCCAAAAATTCACCAAGAAGCTGCAAGATGCAACAAAACATGATGTTAACAAAATGAACTTGTTTTAATCTTAAAATTTGAGTCCTTACTGTTTACGTACTGATAGTAACACAGACTGCTAGATCATGAAAAGAGCTGCTTCATTAAAAAACATAAGAAAAAAAATACCGCAGAGCCTTGATTAGCATATGCCATATGAATGACTGATAGTTTTTTTTAAAAAAGAAACATTAGGATAAATCATTCCTCCAATCTAGAAGTTACCAGTATTAATACATTAATAACTTACAAGACGAACAAAAGAAAGCAAATAATTAAAATTAAACATGTTTTTACGTCACTCCACAGTTTAAAATTTAAAACCAGTCTTTCTCATGTGCTTATTATAGAGAATAAAAACCTTAATTTTTGTAAGAAATTTATAAACTTTGATTCAAAAATGGTTAAGTCTCATTTAGTGCCAAGTGGAGGGAACAACAAATGGAAATAAGTTGACTAGCATGTGTCATCCTTGCCTAAAAAACAAAGGGTACCACAGTGCCTTCACTGTGACAGATCCTCTGACCTGCCAAGGCAACCTCCTGGTGTAACACACATACTGAGACTGTAATGGGTGAAAGGATGAGAAGCAAAACAGAAAGGAGAGAGAGAGAAGTAGTTAGGCATATTGGGATACAAAACAAAACAATACTATTCTATCCTGCCTGAGGCATTAAAAGTACGATTCAACTTCTGACTACCATTCCTTTACTACTTGTAGGATTAAAAATCAAGACACTTTTTTTCTACCCATGTGAATACTGGTTATTAACAAACTTATCCATCCTTACTAGACAAAAGAGACTATTCCAAAATGTATGCAAAGCAGCTTTAACCTATTCCTCGCCTCCTCAATAAGTCATGAAACCAATTAGGTCTAAAGTTATTGTTTTTTGTGGTTTTAAGATAATGCTAACCCCCAAGAAATCCTGATATGACTTACAATACAAAGAATTAATTCAGCAGATATTAATTGCCTACTAGGCAGTCTGCATGTCCTGGGGCCAGATCACAAACTAGGTAAGAAGGTGAGCCACTGGAGAGAGCATGAGAATGCCTTGACCTGATCCTTGGCTGCGACATGTAGATTGTACTGCAGGAGAAAGGGGGAGCAAGAGTGGAATATGAACTTTTGAGAGACTATTATAATGACTCAGATGAAAGAGAAACAATGAAGAGTCTTAGGCCTAAAGGAGTTAAAAATAAACAAAACTAAACAGGAAACTCCAAACTATGTAAGCTGTAAAACCGAGGACAAATAAACTAGAAACAAATGAGGAATTAGACTTGGATACATTTTAAAAGGTCCAGAGAAACATTTCTAAAATCACTAACTGGACTAGTCATGTAGTGCTCCAGGGAAGACTGTCTGAAATGACAAGACTCATAAATTCTTCTTAAGTGGACAGCCCATAATAAAGAAAGGAGCTTTGGTAATGATTTAAACACTGAGCTATGTTCACACAATGCTCACATACAGGGATTGTTCATCCTAATCATTTTCCTACCATAACCTGAATTCCCTCTTACCTACTACAGTAGTGAAATAAGGAAGAAGAGAAGTGGGAAGAGTGGAAGAGGAGTGTTGGCTGTCAAGCCCTTTATTAATTATTCTACACATTTATCCTGGAAACTGGGTCAGCGGGGGACATGGAGACAGTAATAATGATCTCTGATAATCTGCAAATATGAGCAGAGGCTGAGCACAAAGTTGATGGTGTTTTCACCTTTGGGAAGGTTAAACCTTCCACCCAAGCATTCAGACTACCTGCAGATTAGGATTCCTAACCTTACTTGGAGGAGTCATATGTCTCTCTCAAAAAGATTAAGATAATCAGGAGACAAAGGGGTACTCTGGTGCTTCACAGGAGGTGATATATTGTTACCAAAGCAGGTAACAAAACACTGTGTTTCAGAGTTTCTCCACTTGCTGGAAAAAAAGAAAAAGCTTGAGTAGATCCAGGAACATGCATGCAGTAGGGCAGGTTTCCTTTTCTGCTAAAAGAATAACAGCAAGGAAAAGCTCCTTTCTGTTCTCAGAACAGGGTGGCCCGGCCACAGGAGTGGGATTCACGGTGACAAGAAGTCTGAACAAAGGCTATGGCAGGCAGATGAGCATGGATAGTCACAACTCCCCAGGAGCAGGGCAGAGGCAGGCAGACAGGCTCCAAGGTTAAGCAGGCAGCCCCAGCTAGTAGTACCCTTGGCAGAAGCCACAGCTGCCACTTACAAGAACAGAAGACACACAACTCTCTACTCACTTATACTCAGTCATGCAATATTCAAACCTGATTTAAGCACCATGCTACGTACTGTTAACAAGATGGTAATCAGCATCTGGCTCCTCACAGTGTTGCAGCTAGGACAGAAAAAGAGACCTTAAGCTGATGGCTACCTGCCTGACTGAAACTACAGCTGTGGTAAGGACAATGAAGGAAAGCGGCAGGATGTCAAAGAAGCCTATGCCAGTCTGGGCTCAGGAACAGATACTCCTGACAACATGACGTTTAAGCAAGATCTGAACACTGAATATGAGTCAACCAGACAGGGAGAGGAGAGAGCTTTCTAGGCAGAAAAAAACAAATCGAATGCAAAGGACCTAAAAATTGTACCAACTGTACAATTTGATGAGTTTCGATTAATGTATACAATTACGTAACCATCATCAGGAAAATCATGATATAAAACATTCCCATTACTTCAATACATTCCCTATATGGTCAATCTCCACTCTCTACCCCTTGCCCCCCAACTCCTAGCAACCACTGAATTGGTTATTGTGCCTTTTCTAGATCTGCATATAAATGAAATCACACAGCATGTAATTTTTGTTTGGCGTCTTTCATTTGTTCTAATGATTTTGAGATTCATCCATGCTGGAGTCCTTTTACTAGGGAATAAATTTCATTGTGTGGACGTACCACTTGGACATTTCAACTGTTTACAGTTTTAGGGTTATTATAAATGATGCTGGTATGAATTTCACTTTTTCTTCATTCATCTTCGTTTAATTATCTAGGAGTGGAATTGCTGAGCCCTACATTTTTAAGAAATTGTCAAACTGTCTTGCAAAGAGGCCATATCATTTTTCATTTGCACCAGCAACATGTGAGAGGTCCAGTTGTTCCACATTCTTCGGATTGCCATTTAATTTTATCTATACTAGTGGGTGTACAGTGGTATTTCATGGTGGTTTACATTTACATTTCCTAATAACTAATGAAGGTGAGCACCTTTTCATGGGCTTATATGCCGTTTATGTAATTATTTTTGGTGAAATAGCTATTCAGTTCTTTTCCCTATTGTAAAAATACGGCTGTCTTCTTATGAGTTTTAAGACTATACATTCTAGATACACATCCTTTGTCAGATGTTTTGCAACTATTTTTTCCCAGTCTGTGGCTTGCCTTTCCATTTTCTTAACAATGTCTTTTTATTTTGAAATAATTTCAGACTCACATAGAAGTTACAAAAATATTACAGTTTCTGGGTACCTTTCACCCAGCAACAACATCTGACAAACCATAGTACAACTATCAAAATGAGGAAACTAACACTGGTATAAAACTATTAATCAAACTAGAAACTTTCCTCAGATTTTACCAGTTTTTACATGCCCTGTGTGTGTATAGTTCTATACAAATTTATCACATACTTTATATTAGTATAACCTCCACTACAATCAGAATACTGAACTATTCCGGCCTGGTACAGTGGCTCACTCCTGTAATCCTAGCACTTTGGGAGGCTGAGGAGGGCAGATCACTTGAGGTCAGGAGTTCAATACCAGCCTGGCTAACACGGTGAAACCCTGTCTGTACTAAAAACACAAAAATTAGCTGGGCGTGGTGGCATATGCCTGTAGTCCCAGCTACTTGGGAGGCTGAGGCAGGAGAATCGCTTGAACCCTGGAGACGAAGGTTGCAGTGAGCCAAGATCGTACCACTGCACTCCAGCCTGGGTGACAGAATGAGACTCTGTCTCAAAAAAAGAAAAAAAGAATACTGAACTATTCCATCACCTCAAAGAAACATCTTCATGCCATCCCTTTATAATCACATACTCCTCCCAAGTCTACCTGCGGCAACTACTAATCTGTTCTTTGTCACTATCATTTTTTTCATTTAAAAAGTTATAGGTTAGTAGTAGTGGCTCATATCTATAATCCTGGCACTTTGGAAGGCCAAGACAGAAGGACTCCTTGAGCCCAGGAGTTCGAGACCAGCCTAGGCAACATAGAGAGACCCCATCTCTATAAAAAATGAAAGAAAAAAAAAATCTGCCACAGTAGTAGTGCACATCTATAGTCCTAGCTATTTGGGAGGCTGAGGCAGAAGGATCACTTCAGCCCAGGAGTCAGAGGCTGCAGTGAGCTATGATAGCACTACTGCATGCTATCCTGGGCAACAGAGTGAGACTGTCTCAAAAAAAAAAAAAGGTTATACAAATTAAAATTACCATAAGTAATCTTTTAAATCTTTTGAAATCTGAGGAAAATTTCTAGTTTGGTTAATAGTTTTATACCAGTGTTAGTTTCCTCATTTTGATAGTTGTACTATGGTTTGTCAAATGCTGTTGCTGGGTGAAAGGTACCCAGAAACTGTAATATTTTGTAACTTCTATGTGAGCCTAAAATTATTTCAAAATAAAAAGACACTGTTAAGAAAATGGAAAGGCAAGCCACAGACTGGGAAAAAAATAGTTGTAAAACATCTGACAAAGGATGTGTATCTGGAATGTATATAGGCTTAAAACTCATAAGAAGACAGCCGTATTTTTATAATAGGGAAAAGAACTGAATAGCTATTTCACTCAGTATAATGCCCTTAAGATTCTCCAAGGTGTTGGTATATCAATAGCTTGCTCTTTTTCTTACTGAATATTATTCATTGTATGAATGTATGACAATTTGCTATCTATTCACCCCTTGCTGGCTATGACAAAGCTGTTCTAAGGCTTTGTGTACATGTTTTTGTGTGAATATAAGTTTTCAATTCTTTAGGGTAAATATCCAGGAGTAAGATATGGTAACTCCATGTTTAATTTTATAAGAAACTGGCAAACTGTTTTCCAGAGTGCTGTATCATTTTGCACTTCCACCAGCAATGTGTGAAAGATCTAGTTCCTCTACATTCTTACCAACTCTTCGTTTTGCCAGTACTTTTAATTTTAGCCATTCTAGTACGTGTGTCATATCTCATCATGGCTTTAAATTTGCATTTTCCTAGTAGCTAATCATGTTGAGCATCTTTTCATGTGCTTCTTTGTCATCTATATACTCTTTGGTGAAGTGTCTGTTCAGTGTTTTACTCATTTTCTAATTGCATTGTCTTATTTCCTACTGTTGAGTTTAGAGACTTTTAAAATATATTCGGGATACACATTTATCAGACATGCGATTTCCAAGTATTTTCTTCCAGTCTGTGGCTTGCCTTTTTATGCTCTTAACAGTGTCTTTCACAGAGTAAAAGTTTTTAATTTTGATGAAGCCCAAGTCATTATTTTTTTCTCCTTTATGGATTTGGTACAAGAAATGTTCACCTGGCCCTAGATCAAAAAGATCTTCTCTTTTGTTTCCTTATAAAAGTTTTATAGTTCACACTTTACATTTAGATCTATGATAACTGTTGTATAAGAGTTTTAAGTCAAAGTTTATTTCTTTGGTTATTATCTAATTATACTAATACCATTTGTTGCAAAAAGCATCATTTCTCCCCACTGAATTACTTTTGCATCTTTGTCAAACTTCAGTTGGCTCTACTTGTACGGGTCTACTTCTGGACTTTTAATTCTGTTTCACTGATCTATCTTTTGATCAATACCACAGTGTCCTGAGTATAATGCTGTATGTTACGTCTTAGTTAGAATCTAGTGGTGTGATTTTTTTCAGCTCTATTCTTCTTACTCAAAATTGTTTCCAGTTACTTCATAATTCTATATACATTTTAGAATAAATTTGTCCATGTCTACAAAAAATAATGCTAAGATTTTGATAGGAATTGTGTTAACAGTGACTTTTGAAGATCAAAAGTTTTTAATTTGGATGATGTACAGCTGGTTTATTTTTTCTTTCACAGTTTGGTTCTGTATGTCTAAGAAATCATTGCCCACTTAAAGGTTAAGATTCATTGTTTTGCATTCAGATGTCCAATTGTCCAAAAATCATTTGTTAAAAAGATTACCAGTTTCCTCCACTGAATTGCCTTAGCAGTTTTGCTGAAAATCAGATAAATATATGTGTCTGGGCCTATTTCTGAACTATTTTCTATACCATTAATAATATGTTTATCCTTCGGCCAATACCACACTGTCTTGAGTAATGTAGCTTTCTAGTAAGTGTGAAAATCAGGCAATTTAAGTCATTAAACTTTGTTCTTTTTTAAAATTGTCAGCTATTCTAGGTCCTTTGTATTTTTATATAAATATCAGAACTAAGCTTGTCAATTTTTACAAAAAAGGCCTGCAAAGATATTGACTAGAATTGCATTTATGGTATACATCAATTTGGGGAGAAATGGTATTATAGTAATTTTGAGTTTTTTGATTCACAGACATGACACTTGTTTCCATAGGCCTGTATAATAATTTCTAACATACAGGCTTTACATAATTTTGTTTAACTTCTCCATAAGCATTAAGATTTTGAATGCTAATATTTTTATTTTAATTTGTTTGTATTTAAATTTCCAATTACCCATTACTAGTATGTAGAAATGCAATGAATTTCTGTATAATGATTTTGTAATAGACTCACTTATTCATCTTAGTAGGCTTTTTTTGTGTATTGGGATTTTCTGTATACAAAAGCAATTTATTTTTTCATTTCCAATTTGAATGCCTTTGAATTCTTTTTCTTGCTCCACTGCCCTAACTATAATTTCCATACAATGCCGAATAGAAGTGGTGCCTGTTCATGATCTTAAGAGAGAAAGCATTCAGTCTTTCATCACTAAGCATGATATATATATTATAGGATTTTACTAGTTGTCCTTTGACAGACAGGTTGAGAAAGTTCCCTTTAAATCCTAGTTTGAGAGTTTTTATCATTAATGGTACTAATTCTGTTAAATGACTTTTCTGAATATACTGAAATAATCATATAGTTTTCTTTCTTAGTTGGTTCATATGGCTAATTACACTGATTGATTTTCAAATGTTAAACCACCCTTGCATTCATGGAATAAATCCCGCTTGGTCATAAAATATTATCCTTTTTATGTATTGATTCAGCTAGCTAAAATTTCATTGAAGATTTTTCCATCTATTTTATAAGGAATACTGGACTGTAGTTTTCTTTCATATTAGAGTAATGCTGACATAAAATGAGTTGCAACAGTGTTCCCTCTTATTTTCAGAAAGAGTGTATGGAAATGATATTCATCTTTAAATGTTTCATAGACTATCTCAGTGAAGTCTTCTATGATGAGTTGTTTTCTTTTTGAGGGAATGTTTTAATTATAAATCTACATTCTCTTATAAACATAGGGCTGTTTGGCAACTATTTCTTCTTAAACAGGCTTTGTTAGTTTGTGTTTTTCAAGGAAATTGCTCATTTAATAATCTAAGTTGTCCAATTTAATGTCTATAGAATCTATACTCATCTCTCCTCTTTCATTCCTATTAATCTCATTTGTGTCTTCTTTTTTCTAATCAGTCTGGCTAGAATTTTATCACTATTAGTGATCTTTTCAAAAAAACAAGATTTTAATTTCTCTTACTTTTCTCTAATGTTTTACACTTTTATATTTCAATGCTTCCTATTTTATCTTTATTTTCTTCTCATTGCTTGTTTTGGAGCTATTCTTTCTTTTAGTTTCTTAAAATGCAATCTTAAAAGTACTGATTTGAGAACTGCTTTTTATAATATAAGCATTTAAGCATCATTGCAAGCTTCATCTGACAACTTCATATCCATATTCAACAATAAAGCAGACACTTTAAAAAAATCTTACTTTACATGGGGTCCTGTTTCAAGGGCTTTGTAAATACTATTTTAATACTGAAAACAACCCTAGGAGGGTTTTCTATTTGTTTACAGCTAGAGGGTAAATCTAGTCCGTGGTATTACATCCCATATTCACATTTTGTCTGATGTTTCCTTATGTTAGGAAAGGTACTACATTTTTTCCATCTTACAGATTATGAAACTGAATCTTAGAATGATTAATTGACTATGGTTACAATGTAAGGGGTAGAGAATTTGAGTCCTTCAAATTTTGGACTACAATGAGTCCAAAAATATAATCTTGAAGATAAAGAGAATATGGAGGAAGAGAAGTTGTAAGTCTTAAACCTGTTGAGTCTGAGATAACTTTAAGACATTCAAATGGAAATATCAATTTGGTATCTAGATATAGAACTGGATCCCAGATGAGTAGTCTCGGTGAAAGATAAATGTAGGAGTTGTCACTGTAACTGGAGCAATGAGAGACAAGTTATTCAAGAGTAGTCGTTAAGTAAAAAGATACCTAAGATTCAGCTTTATAACAACCACATTTAATGAGCAACTGGAGAAAGATGAGCTGACAAGGAAGCCACAGAAGATGCAGCCAGAGACCTAGACAGAAAACAAGAACATACTGAAGAAGCCAAAGGAAGAGAGTGTTTTAAAGAACAAAATGGCTAATAGCATTGATTTTAACAGAGGTGTCAAATAAGCCATTTGAGTAGAGCGAACGCAGCAGAAGCTAGATTAAAATGAGCTGCCATGTAACTGGGAAATTTATAAGGAAACTGGATATAGCTACTTCTTTAGAGAAGTTTAACAAAGAAGACCAAAGATGAAATAGATAAAGAGGAGTAAATGGTCAAGGGAGGATAATTAGATTATATAGTATATATGATATAGCATAGTATAACACATATAACATAGAGACAACCTGAACATGTTTATATGCTAACAAAAAGGATCCAATAAAGAGAGGAAGAGTGAGAATGGGGGAATGAGAAAGAAAATAGGTTTCTCAGATAGCATATTATTTCCAAAAAGGAAGAAAAGAATGGGATCCAGAGCACATGTGTGGCCATACGGATGGAGATATTAGTGTGTCACTACCATAAAAAAGTATCATCAAAAGACTGAGAAAAAGTGCAATTTCCAAGTGTGATATTATATATCTATTACATATTAGATAATAACATATATATAATTCTATGTATTGTATATATAGGGAACATATATATAGGTTTTCATCCACAGCTCCCGGCTCTTAACTCCCATATACCTTGTTACAGACTTTGGTTATGATGTTGGGGTGCTCCAGGCCTCAGAAAACAGAATCTCTCTCTCTGATTTTCCCATCCTCCTTTCACCAGCTCAAGGCAAGAGTCTAATCTTCCCCTGCCTTTCTGACTGCAGGTCATAAGACTCTCATTTCAGAAGTGGTCCTGTCCCACACCCTTGAGAAAGGAATGCTGCACAGAAAGGCTAAGAAGAATTTGGACAGACAGGCTTGTGGGTTTCTCCACTCGGCCTGTTAGTATTAGATTATACCCTTTTTGTCCAATCCCATTTCCACATGGTTGTCAATCATGCCTATCCAATAAATCTCCATGAAAGGCTCAAGAGGACAGGGTTCAGGGAACTTTCGGATAGCTGAACACGTGGAGGATTCTGGAAGATGGCGTGCCCTGGGAAGGTCTGGAAGCTCTGTGTTCCTTCCCCCATACCTTACCCTATGCATCTCATTATCTGCATCCTTTGTAATATCCTTTATAATAAACTGGTAAAGGTGTTTCCCTCAGTTTTGTAAAGCTGCTCTAGCAAATTAATCTAACCCAAAGAGAGGGGCATGGGAACCTCAACTTGGAGCCAGTCAGAAGTTCCAGACCTGAGACTGGTATCTGGTGGCGGTGGGAGGGGACTGGGCCCTCGACTTGTGAGATCTCATGCTATCTCCAGGTAACTAGTGTCAGAATGGAATTGGAAGACACTTAGCAGGCATCTGCTGCAAAACTGATCGCTTGCTTGGTGTGTGGGGAACTCCCCCTATGCAACATTTGATCACATAAGTCTTCTGTGATTGTTGTGTTGAGAGAACAGAAAAAAAGCACTTTGAGTTTTTCCACATTCACCAAGATAAGGGCATTAAGGATACTGGTGAGATTTATAGAGGATGCATTTGATATACTGATCTCTCCATCATGAAGCTTGAACAGCAAGAGTATGTGTGAGAAGGAAATGCCATGGTTTCTGATGACTCATTTCCCTACTTAGAAGGCTTCTGAGATTAAAAACAAAGGAACTCTTGTTATAGAATTTAGATGTAACTGATTAAAACATATGAACAAATATTGGCATTATTATCCCAGTTAACAGATGGAATAATCTGAGGCTCAAAAGAATTAATGTGCAACCAAAAGTATGGAAATACTGAGGTTCGGCTTTAACTTTCAAATCTCACCTGTTACTACTCCTACAGCAAGAAGACTACAACCATGTCAACACAGCTAAACTACCATCCCCCAAACTCTGATGTATCTCATTTGTTCATTTCCCTTTCCCTTTCATGAAATATTTTTAACACTCTTTTGTATCTATCCAAATTTTGTCTAAGACTAGCTTAAATGTGATCTTCATAAGCCTTTTCCATTCAAACCAGCTCTAACCTAAATTCTCATCTAAACTACTTTGCTGTATATTTACTTATGCAGATTTTATTATCAGACTATGGTCTTTCTGAGGACAATAGCTGCATCTCCTACATTTTCAGATTTCCAAAACAGGCTCTTCACAGAGTTAGAACAAACAACTGCTAAAAAAGTTAACCAAAATGTAAATCTTTTTAAAGTAACAAATTACTTAATAAATTGTTTCATGTGTCTTTACCAGTGTTTCTCTTCATTAGTAAAGGGGGGCGGCTATATTAGGTTTTTATGACTCAAGGTTTATTTCTGTGATATCTTTATATATCAGGCTGACCGCCCCCGCTCCGCCCCGTCCATAAAATGGCTAGGCTGTCAAGCCTGAATGTAGAAACACACAGGTTAAACTAGTTACATAAAACATACTTAAGGAGAAAAGAATAAGTTCAATGCAACCATATAGCCAGACTTTAGAGACCCTGGAAAATAATTCAGGTAATACAACAAGGTTCAGAATTTAAGACAGCTGTAATCATCAGGCAATCCTGGCAATAAGTCACTGAGGTAACTTAGAGCCTATCTATTTTTACTTAACCTGGTTCTTTGGCTACCAATAGACCTATCTATGACAGTTAATTTTATGCATCAACTTGCCTAGGACACAGGGTGCCCATATATTTGGTTAAACATTATTCTGGGTGTTTCTGTGAAGGTGTTTTGGATAATTTTAACATTTATATAAATAAACAGACTGAGTAAAGCTGACTGCACTCTGTGATGTGGGTGGGCCTCATTCAATCAGTAGAAGCCCTGAATAAAACAAAAAGTATGAATAAGTGGGAACTCTTCCTGCCTGCCTTGAGCTTGGACATTGGTGTTTTCCTGCCTTTAGACTCAAACTGAAACATCAGCTCTTCCTAGATCTTGAGCCTACTGGCCTTTGGACTGAAACTACATTCGGTGTTCTGGTTCTCAGGCCTTTGGACTCAAACTGGTGCTACACCATCAGCTATCCAGGGTCTTCAGCTTGCAAGCTGCAGATCTTGGGACCTATGAACCTCCATACCCACATGAACTAATTCCGTATAATAAATCTCTTAATACAGCTCCTCAGAGATGCCTTACTTGACTAGCCTATCTAAATTCCCCTTTAAGCACACTCTCTCCCCTCAACCCACTTCATTTTTCTTCATATCACTTACCATTGCTAACATTCTAGTACATGGTTATTATCTGTCCCACTCAAACCCAAGTTCCATGAAAGCATGAATTTTGTTCTGTTCATGAATAAATCACCAGTGCCTTGAGTAGTACCTGGCTAACAGCAGACATTCAAAAAAGTGTTGAATGAACCAATGAACAAGTGAACAAACTGTTATTTTAAATTCCCATTATGAATTGCCTGTCTTTCTCCTCTCAAGGAGTAGTTTACAGGAGAGAAAGAGAAAGAGAAAGATGATTAATCTTGTTATTGCTGTTTATGCAGTTTTCATACCAGGCCACTTCATAAGCCATTAGCCTTGAGCCAGAGGCTTGCCCTGGTCTAATCAGTTATGGACAAAGTGGCAGAACCACATGTTACAGGATCCGCTGAGTAAGTGCTTCTTCAAGAGGCAGATAATAACCTTTAAGGTGAGTGCTCATAGTGAGCACTATGAGGTTAGCTCTAACGAATGAAGTCTCACTACTTTCAGAATATAGTAAGAATTTCTTGGCCTCAACCCTAACTCACATCATTTTCCTAAAAGAGTAATAAGCTTAAATTTAACCTCACTCCTTATTAGCCCTCAACTGGCCTTTAGATCAGATCTCAGCTGCCACCATACAAATGCATCTATTTCAGTTCTAGGTATTCTCAAAGTTCATTTTTCAACTATATTTTAAGTAATTAATACAGAAATACCACTATGTCCTGCACTAAGAAGGCCTATTCCAACAACAGACTTGTCTACAATTTAACCAAAAGTAGTAGAAACAATATGTGAAATATAGGGTGCATCCTAGGGTACTCTCCCCTTCCTCCTTTCCCCCCAAAAAACTATGGCTGACTAGCCATTTATGTCTCTCCGGACATACACTTTTCTTCTTTCCTTAGGAGACTGCCTACTAAGTGGTGTGAATGAAGTGCCCAATCTTGGACTTTACGGTTCCTCCTCTATACTAAGGTAGTAGAGCCATATGAAGAGTAAGCCAGCCTAGGTCTGAGCATTGTACTACAGGGCCCAGACTGAGACAGCCTATGTTTCAGTCACTGCTGACACTAGCACCAAATAAAGAAAACCAGAATTTTACTCCCATTCTCACCTGGGCATATTATTAAAGAGAAATTATTTTGTAATCTCACAATTGAGATTATATACTGAAGAAACAGATAAGAGTGTGGGTTATCTTCTTAAAACTGGGGGGAACATGCTAGAAAAGAAAAAGCTCTAGAAAGAGAATGTCTCATTGGTAAGTTTCCAGTTAACTGTCCCATTTTTATCCTCTTAAAGGGGTTTTTACATTGATTCCCACAGCAACCACCAGCCTAGAGGGGCATACTACTTCCCTCTCTTTCTACTTTAGTTGAATGAAGGACTTGATACCAAATCTCTTCCTTTGCCTCCTTTGAGATGAGTAACATCTTAAAAGTGATGTTACTAAAATACTAAAGCAAAAGAAAAGGGAAATAATGAAAACTACAATAAAACAAAGTTTTATCATAAACCTACTTAATGGCTAACCTTAGAATTTAGCCAACTGATTTCAGAAGCTATCTCACAGAAAGGTGAGGCTAACGAGCTCCTGAAATTCCCACAACAAATACACGATTAGTAAGAATTAAGATTCTAGAGTTTATTATTAAAACAAAATGAAGTAAAGCTGGCAGGCAAGAAGGAACATTTTAGAATTCCCTACCTATACCATGTTTAAAGCTGAATGAATATACAACACCTGTATACTTTCCTTTTGCCTTTCAGTCTAGCTTAGTCACTCTCCAATTTAAATGTGTGTAAGAATTAATGCTCAAGAGTGTATATGTACACAAAAGATTTCATATTGGCTTTTATGAGTTGAGGAACTTTCAAGGGTGATTCTGACTTTGGCTTTACACACTAACTTTAGACTCGAGCCCAGAGTGCACAAAATTCCACTCTTCCAAATAATCCACAAAACTGACATAGTCAAAATTACCCCGAAAATCTCCTTAAATCATAATGTAACATTTAGTACAATAACATTCAGGGCCATGATTTTATTTAAAGTATTTACACTACATATGACATGCTCATCTGACGGGAGACATGTACAAACTAAGAGAGAACAGCAGATTCTCATCTGCAAGGGCATAAGCTTCCTAGGATGGGCAGAATTGTCTGTACTACTGAAACTGTCATTTTATCTGTCAAGACAGGTACAGCTGGATATTCAAAAGTTAAATTCATGTATAATAAAATGTCACTACCATAAGCAGTTTAAAAATGAGGCTTCCAGGAAGAGGTTATAATCTTATAAAAATATATAATCTTATAAAATCTTACACAATTTTATAAAAATTAATCTGAGCTCTTTCCAGATGATTCCCCTCCATATTTAGGATTCTTCTTTCTCCTTCTCCCTTTTCTGTACTACTCGCTTATAAAGAAGAGGTTACAGTTCTACTCCCACAGACCCTCCGTAATAGAGGGCAAATCCTTTAAGCATCAGTATAATTAGCATGTTTCTTTAGTTGCCCATGAGTCCAGAAAAAAATTATTACAGCCAAGAGACAACTTTGTTTGCCCTGGCCACTTAACTGTTCTTTCTAGCAGGTATACTAATCATACCTAGTTTGCCCTCTCTTCTAGGAGAATCTGACCCCCACCCACAAAGGGGAGAAAGAGGCCTGGTTTGTAGTTCTGCAATTGGGTTTTTAAAGACCTATTCATAAAATAGATTTAATTCTTAATTGGGCTTATTTGAGTAGGTTTACTACATTCTAACCACAAAATGATGCTAAGACAGAAACTGTCTCAACAAGAAACTGTCCCTTAACAATTTCTACATTTTGAGGAGGGTGGATTTAGCTAAATAGCGCCAGACACATGAAATCAGTAAGCTAATTCAGAACTTGTTTCCAAGTCATTCAGACATTCAAGTTATTTATTAAAGATCTCAAGACTTTACAGCCATATCCTTGGCAGTAAAGTAAGTACATGTTTCTGGCTACTTTAAAATATATATATTTCAATGGAGATGAGGTCTTGCTATATGGCCCACTGGCCTTGAACTCCTTGGTCTCAAGCAATCCTCCTGCCTTGGCCTCCGAAAGTAATGGGATTACAGATGTGAGCCACCGTGCCTGGCCATTTTTGGCTACTGTTTAAACAATAACAAATATAAGTAACGGAAATGATATGGGTATGATATTACCATAACACTTCAGTGAGCTGGTATCCAAGATTCTAAAATTACTTTGTACTCAAAATGGTAAACATTTCAAAATATTCCAAAGTTGGCTTCTGGGCTTGCTCAACTGCATGTAGATTATTAGTGTCAGTAAAGCAACGTCAATTTTCACAAGGACATTCAACTGAATAAATAGGTCATCTACTTTGTAAGAATATACTATTTCCCAAGGTACTCAAAAGCTATTTTAATTTTAAATCTAAGAAAAATTGATACCCATAAATTTCCATAAAATTTTTATGAGGTTTTACACAAGAAAGAATGCTGAGTTTTAAAGGCACCTTTGTACAGTGTACTACTTGGGTTAAATCTTTGCCTATCCAAAAAAATTGGTTACATACTGAAAAATCTCATTCCTTGAGAAGACCCGAATGCCTGACATTTTCTTCTAACTTTTGCCAAATCTTTCACTAATAAGACTCCCAGGCTCATAAAAGAAAATGCTGATCACATTCAACCACCACGAGACAATTCCTAAAACTGCAAATTAAGAATAGCAAATGAGAAGTGTCCCAGATGCATTTTACAGATAATTTTTTTCATATTAGTTGATACCACATATACTTATTGCTAGTTTATCTTGCTAGCAACGTAATTATGATCAGATTTTTTTTTAACGCTAGGTAGTTTTTAGAAAAAAAGATTCCATGGCAAATGGCTTTCTGTAATTAAATGTGCCTGCCCCCAGCAGAAAAAAATAAAATTCACTGAATTTCAGAGTATGTTACAAATGATCTCAAAATCTAAAAGCTCAGCAAGATGGGGCAAAAACTACTATTTCCATTTGATTATGATAACCAAATATGACAAATCTAAGTTGAAGACTTGCAAGACAAGTAAAAAGTTTAATTGTCCAGCTAATGAACCTGTATCAATCTCTAGAAATAGCTTGAATTTTATGCTCTATCTCATCTTCAAGTTGTCCTTCACTGGATAAGGCCTAAAGCCTGGCTAATTAAAAAAAAAACTCATTTTTTACTACCAACAAAGTAACAACAAAGACCAGAAACTAAAAACAAAAATTTTTTTCTGTATAAATCTGTGCCAGACACTAAGTATTTCTCGTCTAATCATCTCTTCCTCTACAAAAGGGATTTACGATTTTCTGGAGTGGTTCAATAACATACATATGGGAAAAGTTCCTGAAACCATTTGAAGGCAATTTAAACATAACATGACTGCCTGACATGCTAGGTAGCAGAAGTGATAATAAAAATAGCTTGTTTTTTTGTGGTTTGGGTTTTTTGATTCATGAATGTCAGCAATGTTAACTAAACATGAGGGTTATGAAAAACAAAACAAAAAAAACTTTTGCTCTATGGAATTCGAGCCCCTTTAAATTATCAGGCCCAGAGAGGCATTTTAAATGTACAGTAGTCATGTCTCACTACCCCTTGAGCTAAATAATTACCTCTTGAAGCCACATGCTATGGAAGCTCTAGACTAACTGACCCCAAGTAGTCATAAAATGCCATATACACTATAGTTCAACAATGTATAGACAATAAATAACCAATGTTATTTCTGTAAACCAACAAGAATTCCTGATGAATACCTTTTTGCAATCAATCCCTTTCCTGATTCATCCTTTTTTTCTCTAAAAATATGAGCCTCTCTTCTGTTCTCTGGAGCACTCCCCAAGACCACTTGGAAGTGTGTCCTAGGCTGCAGTCCTCAACCTTGGCCCAAATACATTATCTGTATTAACTATGCCTCATTTTCTTCCCTTTAGGTTGACATTTCTGGCACTGTGAGCAGGATTCACAGTAAGCCACCCTTAGCCATTCCTGGACTTGGCACCTGGCCAACTATGAAACTCTCATGTTCTTCCAATTCCAAGATAAATTATTGGACAAAAGTCCTACTAATAATCTGGACCTATACCACTCTTTGGTTGAAGGTGTACATTTTATTTGGGCTGTTCTTTCAAACCCTTCTTTTTTAGAAGAGGTCTTTAACCTAGGGGTAACCCTTCAGGCTTGCTTCTTTATCAGAGCTATCCATGCTGAGTCCACACATATATTATGCTTTTTTTGCCCTTTTTCTTAATGGGCTTTCCCAGCTGAACTCAGTAATTTTTAAGCTAACAAAAGTGAACATAAAAAGACCACCCATTCAACAAAATCAGTGTCCAAAATACAGCTTTCTGTCATTTAGTTGGCTATTTATAAAAGAAATTTACATCTACAAAAGAAATCTTCATTTGTAAGGGTCTTTACCTCACTGTACCTGGAGAGGGAGTGCTGAGTCACTAGAAACTTACCATTGGCTTACATTTACATAAGTCTTTGGTGAAGGTGCTTTTCAGGCCATCTTGTCTTTTTATTTTTTGAGACTGTCTCGCTCTGTCGCCCAGGCTGGAGTGCACTAGCGTGATCTCGGCTCACTGCAACCTCTGACTCTCCGGCTCAAGCGATTCTTCTGCCTCACCCTCCCACGCAGCTGGGATTACAGGTGCCCGCTACCACACCTGGCTAATTTTTGTATTTTTAGTAGAGACGGGATCTCATCATGTTGGCCAGGCTAGTCTCACTGACCTCAAGTGATCCACCTGCCTTGGCCTCCCAAAGTGCTGGGATTGCAGGCATGAGCCACGGCACTGGGCCAGGCCATCTTGTCTTAACTGGCTTTTACCTACATCCTTCTTCCTTGGATTTCAGCTCTGGACTTTTGAGTTATATATTTTTTCTACATATTTCATGTTAAGTGTCATCCCTTTAGAAGAACCTAACAACTACTTAGGGCAATAAAATGGGTAACTGGAAAATTAATAGTCTAAAAGAGAGAAATGTATTTAAATTTGGAACAAAAGGAGCAAACAGTGCAACTAAAAAATGAGAATGAAACTACTGAGATTATAAAAATACAGATCTAACAACTTTTTTTTTTCAAAACCAGGACTAATGAATGGCACTGATGATATCCTTTAATGCCCAGCTGGAGTTCACAGTACCTTGGAGAGATAAATCTTATCATGTGTTTGAAATGTTAACATGCAGGGAATTAGCCAAGCAGCATTCCAGCTGAGATAAGATCTAAAACAGAGTTAAAATTCTTTAGAACAACAAAAAATTCCTTTCTTTGGTTAATATCTTTAGCTTAGGAGAGAAACATTTACAAGAATTTGAATATTTTCAATTATTACAATATTAATATGACTCTTGACCCTTTAGGGTACCCATTTGTTACTGATCCTTTTCCCTTCCATGAACAGCTTTTGATTTCCTGTCTTCTTCTGTCTGCCATCAGCTGAAACCCTAGAGAGTACAGTCAAGCAAAAATGTGGATTTGCACCTTATTTGTGGCTACCAAGACTTTCATTATTTAAACTGTCTTTGGGGTGGTTCTGGATCTTGTGAGGGCTTGCTTTGCACCTCTTTGGAGATGGCTTGTGCATCCTTGGTCAAGTCATAAAAATTTTTCTTAAGGCTTATTGGTTTTGGTGAGTCACTTGGAAAGGTACCCTTGGTTAAAAAGAAAAAAAAAGTCAAAAGCCAGGAATATTGGCTGTTTATTCCAGCTAAAATCTGTTAAGAAACTTGAAAATATTTTTTTTTCTTTGAAAGAGGTCTATAGCCAGAAATTAGCTTAATTAAAAGCTGACATTCAGGCTATCTATATATATATACATATATATATACACATAGCTATATATATATACATATATATATATACACATAGCTATATATATACACATAGCTAGCCTGAATGTGTATATATGTATATATACACACAGCTGTATATATATAGCTAGCCTGAGTCATATATATAATATATATTATATATAAGTATATATAAAGATATATAATATATAAAAAATATATAAAATATTTTTTTTTTGTAGAAGAAAGGCCTTTATGTTTTACTCTTTTGGATTCTGTTAACATGATTTTTGCCAAAGATAACGTAAAATTGAATTGGCCTTTTGGAAAGCTTAAATTCTCTGTGCTTGAAATATAAATTTGCTACTTGTTATTTAAAACTTGGTAAGGGCTTCAGGCATATACAATAAACTTGAACTTGTTCTATTTATGAACTTTGAATCCAATGTCCTTTTAAAATAGCGAGTTTTACTTGTCTCATGGCTAGAATTTTTATATCAAAGCTATGAAATCTTCACTTATGTTTGTATTTTTATGTATATATGTGTACAGATCTGTTTGTATATTGTTTACATGGTACCAAACTGACAAATTAATGCTCATAGCTTAATAATCCCAAATATTTTTCAAGTTAATGTGATTTTAGTAATCTTTGAGAAATAAAATTAGCTTTTTAATTGTTGGTAAAATAAAATTAGAATGTCTTCAGACTTGTCAGTTTTAAACACAATCAGACATTTTTGCCTGGGTCTGCTGGTCAGAAAGGTTTAGGCTTTCTCTACTAGATGTCTGAAGCTCATAAAACTATTGCTTCTGTGATATGTTTGATGCTTATTTGACTTGTCTGTGAGCTTATGTATTAGACTCATTAGATTCTGGGCTCTAACAAGTGAGGACTGCAGACATATGTGGTACTCCCTCTGGCCTGGCTGTTGTCTCCTGGCTATGGTGGGAAGAGTCAGACATTATCTTCACAGTTCTGTCCTCTGTCCTGGGCTCCATTATGGGTGTGTAAAATCAGGACTCAGATAGGCCCTGCCCCTTCATAATCATACTTGGGTGCCACGTGGGTAGTTGCGACTCAGTATGACTGAGGAAGACATTAGGAAGGGTATCTGTGTTGCAGTTTCAAAATTCTTTTCAGTAGTTTAAAGTTTTGAAGTCATGTTAGGTTTAATAAAGTAATAGATAATCATAAAATGTTTGAGTCATTTCTACATACATTAAGATACAAAAACATTAATTATTAGATATGTTTTAGTTTAGTTTACATAATTTGGTATTTTGTTTTTACATGGTATAAAAAAGCTAAATATATTTAGATCTGTTAATAATCTTTAGATCTGTTAATAAACAAAAAAGTAGGCATCAATTATATTTTATAGAAATATCTTTCTACGAAACCATGAAATGATTTGTCTACAAATACAGACATAAACCAGTTAACTACTACTTACTTTCTAGGTTTTTCACTTGAAATTAGAACTACTAAGAGTTAAAATCGTAGTTAATATATGTAATTAAAAGTACTAGATACATGGGAAACACTCTTGTATGCAAAGTATACAATGAAAGTAGGATGTGTTTTTGGTGAAGAAAGTTATAAAAAAGAGAGGAGGGTGTGAGTTTTGCTAAAGGAAAAGTAATTTTGCCTAGTTTAGAGGTTAAAGATTGTTTCAAAATTTACATGATATAGCTAAAACTAAAAAGTTGGAGAAAGAAAAAATAAAATTGTAAGAGTTTATAAAAGATTCATGAAAATCTTATCTGGTCAAAGCTGACTGGGATCAGATGGATCTGTTTATTGTAAGATTTTATTAAAATTAGGTTTAATATTAATAATATACTGATACAAAGGTAGGATTTCGTTTTCTCTTTTGAACAAGATTTTCAGGTAGTGTTAACAGGAGATAGTAAAAGGTTTTGTTTACTTTTGAGTAAACTACAAAAGAAAAGGAGGGAGAGAGAGATTTTCTTGAGCTCATGCTGCCTTTATTAGGTCTTATTTGGAAAAGTGAGTCTTTGATGGAGTCTTACTCTTTGATACAGTCTCCTCAAACTTACTCTTTGATGGAGTCTCCTGCTAATCAAAGAGCACAGGTTTTGACTTTTTAAAAATCACTGACTTATCACTTTGTTTAAATGACTGTTTTACAATGACCTGTGATCCTATTTTAACACTGAGCATTTCAAACCTTTCTTATCTTGATATCTGTTTAATTTACATTTATTTATTTATTTTTTTTAGATGGGAGCCCTGCTCTGTCGCCCATGCTGGAGCGCACTGGCGTGATCTTGGCTCACTGCAACCTCCTCCTCCTGGGTTCAAGTGATTCTCTTGCCTCAGCCTCCCAAGTAGCTCACATTCAGGTGCATGCCACCACGCCCGGCTAATTTTTTTGTACTTTTAGTAGATATGGGGTTTCACCATGTTAGCTAGGCTGGTCTCGAACCCCTGACCTCAGGTGATCTGCCTGCCTCAGCCTCCCAAAGTGCTGGGATTACAGGTGTCAGCCACCACGCCCGGCCATATCTAGTGTTTTAAACCTTTGATATCTGATACAGTTCCCCCAAATCAAATTTCAAACATGGAAAGCACTGTCAGACAAGAAATAGTGTTCAGCTTTCTTTGAGTTACAGTTGTATTGATATGTGTTCCAAAATTGTATGCAATTCCTAAACATCTGATATGCCTTGGTATATGCAGTAAACTGTTTTATTCTCATGTCTTTTTTTTGAGACGGAGTCTCGCTCTGTTGCCCAGGGTGGAGTACAATGGCATGATCTCAGCTCACTGCAACATCCGCCTCCCAGGTTCAAGTGATTCTCCTGCCTCAGCCTCCCGGGTAGCTGGGATTACAGGTGCGCACCACCATGCCCGGCTAATTTTTGTATTTTTATTAAAGACGGTGTTTCATCATGTTGGTCAGGCTGGTCTCGAACTACTGACCTCATGATCCGCTCACCTCAGCCTCCCAAAGTGCTGGGATTACAGGCGTGAGCCACTGCATCTAGTCTGTTTTTTTTTTTTTTTTTTTTTAAGAGCTTTGTTTCCCTCCAAATCCTAAAATGTGTGTCTTCAAAGAAATTCGTGGAAAGGACTTTGAATACGAGTTTGTACCATATTCAAGTATTCTTGAATACAGGTTTCAGATAACTATGGAGATGATACCATTGGACTAGGTAAAAATTTCCAAAATTCGAATAAAAAACTGATGTGTTAATGAAGATTGCTAAGCCAACATGAAACAGAACAGGAATTAATTACATGGGACTGAACTGATAGAGGACTGAAATGATTTTTTAATCACTTTTTGTTTGAAACATTGTTGATTCTTCTCATATTTGTTTTGCCAGAGTCCACATTTTTTTTGAGCCATTTATAGCTCATAGCAATTAGGTAAAGTATACTTTTGTGGGGAAAAGTGAAACATTTACCTTCCTCTTTACCTGATTTTCTCCAGAATTTGGGAACTATTTGTGAATATTCTTATTTTATGACATTTATGACAATATAGTTGTTTGTATAAGTGCAATATTTTCTTTGTTTTGTAAGAGGACGCATTGGAGACACTGGTTATTGTACCAAGGTTTAACTGGAACAGCATATGATCAAACTACTTTGAGGAATTAAGGTTGACTTTATAGAGCCAATAAAAAGCCCCTTGGAAAGACTTGACCTAATAAGTTGTCTATACTGTTCCCTTACAAGAATCCTGACTTGCGGTATGTAAAGAATGTCACTTTCTGAGAGTTTCAGGAATATCAAAATATTTTGGGACTTCAAGAAGAGAAGAATTCACCAAACTGTGAAAGTATTACAGGCACAGGCTGATGGTTAATCCCTGGCTTGACTTCTTAGACTTGAGAAGTTTCCAAAAGTCTAATCCAAAATTTCTAACGAAAAAGTTTCAGGCAAAGCCAACTAGTCTATATGACCAATCACTACTCTTGCTGCACTTTATGCAAATAAATCAGGCCAAGTATAATAACTCTAAAACTTTTTTTGCAAATAAATTGGTCTATTTCTCTTCGGTAGAAAAGAGGCACTGGATGGGTGTAGTGGCTTGTGCCTGTAAGCCCAGCTACTCACGGCTGAGGTGGAGGATCACTTGAGCCCAGGAATTCAAGGCTGCAATGAGCTATAATCATGCCACTGCACAACAGCCTGAGTGACAGAGTGAGATTGTTACTAAAGAAAAAATTTCTAAGTATAAATGTATACATTTTATATATATATAATTATGTATTTTAAAAAAATAAAAGGGAGACTAGAGACAGAAAAATCACGTTTCATAAGAAAACTATAACACACCTGTTATTAGATTCTAGCCTGACCATTGTTTTTGAGTTTTCTTATTTGTCTACCACTTGGACTAAATCCTGAATTATTTCCTGGCTACAACCAGTCTGTAAAGAAGAACCAGGTTTTAATTTTTTTCAAGATTTTGTTGTTGGCTCCCTAATGAATAGGTTCTTTTTTCATTCTGACATGTAAATTCACTTTTTGATTGTAGTCAATGTGTGCATTATATTTCTGCAATACAAATTCTTAACTGTTATGTATCTCTCATTGTTTTACTTTGGAGGAAACTAAAATCATGGGATTCCAAAGACTAGGGATGATTCAACAAGCAATGACTTACATAAATCAATGACTTAACTGAGGTCTCATTTCTGCCACTCTGTGATGCCATCCTAAGTCAGCTTTTGGGAACTCTTAAAATTCCTCACTGAGACATTTCCTCCTCCCTCATCAACATGGGACAGCACTACCTGGGAGTGAGACTTCCTGGTGACAAGGGACATCATGACACTTAGATTTTGATTAACAATGCTTTCGAGAAGAAAGATTTTTGACCACAAGGAGTAAAGGTTGCGGAGGGAGGGGGGAAGAAAAGCTTTTTATCTAAGGAATATGGGCCTAAGTTATCAGTCCCAAAAAGGTATTTAAAATCTAACAGCAGTCATGCCTCATTCTCCCTTGAGGTAAATAATTACCCCTTGAAGCCACTTGCTATTCAAGCTCTAGACTAACTGACCTCAAGAAGACATAAAATGCCACACACCTTACAATTTAACAATGTATAGAAAATCATTAACCAATGTTATTTCTGTAAACCAATTAGAATTCCTGATAAGCAACTTTTGTAGTCACTCCCTCCCTATTCATCTTTTATTTATTTTTCAAACAATTTAGTTTATTTATTTCTCATATAATAGTCCAGAGTTAAGTGGGAGAGCCACAGAGAAAAGGCAACTCTATTTCATGAAGTTATCCAAGGACCCAGGTTCCTTTTATCCTGTTGCTCTGTCACCTCCTAGGGAGTTACTGCCCATGTGGTGGGCAATAACGTATCTCTTCTCCAATCCAGGGGAGGGGTGGAAAGAAGACAAGGGTGAGCATCTTCTCTTCTGAGGATATGACTTGCAAGCTACACAATTCCTTCTGCGCAAATTAGCTTGGCTCACACACCACAGTCACATCTTACCGCAAAGTAGCCATGTACCCAACTAAAAGTTGAAGGGTTCAATTGACCAAGAGCAGTGAGGGAGTGGATATCTGGATATAGTGATCAGTCTTTCTACCACGGGTCCAAGAAATGTATTTTTTTTTTAAATTATACTTTAAGTTCTGGGGTACATGTGCAGAATGTGCAGGTCTGTTACATAGGTATACATGTGCCATGGTGGTTTGCTGCACCCATCAACACGTCATCTACATTAGGTATTTCTCCTAATGCTATCCCTCCCCCAAACCCCTGACAGGCCCTGGTGTGTGATGTTCCCCTCCCTGTGTCCATGTGTTCCCATTGTTCAACTCCCACTTAGAAGTGGCAACATGCGGTGTTTGGTTTTCTGTTCTTTTGTTAGTTTGCTGAGAATCATGGTTTCCAGCTTCACCCATGTCCCTGCAAAGGACATGAACTCATCCTTTTTATGGCTGTGGAGTATTCCATGATGTATATGTGCCACATTCTCTTTATCCAGTCTATCACTGTTGGGCATTTGGGTTGGTTCCCAGTCATTGCTATTGTGGACAGTGACACAATAAACATACATGTGCATGTGTCTTTATAGTAGAATGATTTATAATCCTTTGGGTATGTAACCAGTAATGGGATTGCTGGGTCAAATAGTATTTCTAGCTCTAGATCCTTGAGGAATTGCCACACTGTCTTCCACAATGGTTGAACTAATTTACACTCCCACCAACAGTGCAAAAGTGTTCCTATTTCTCCAGCATCTGTTTCCTGATTTTTTAATGATTGCCATTCTAACTGGAGTGAGATGGTATCTCATTGTGGTTTCTGATTTGCATTTCTCTAATGACCAGTGATGATGAGCATTTTTTCATATGTTTGTTGGCTGCATAAATGTCTTCTTTTGAGAAGTGTCTCTTCATATGCTTCGCCTGCTTTTTGATGGGGTTGCTTTTTTCTTGTAAATTTGTTTAAGTTCTTTGTAGATTCTGGATATTAGCGCTTTGTCAGATGGATAGATTGCAAAAATTTTCTCCCATTCTGTAGGCTGCTTGTTCACTCTGATGATAGTTTCTTTTGCTGTGCAGAAACTCTTTAATCAGATACCATTTATCAATTTTGGCTTTTGTTGCAATTGCTTTTGGTGATTTAGTCATGAAATCTTTGCCCATGCCTATGTCCTGAATGGTACTGCCTAGGTTTTCCTCTAGGATTTTTATGGTTTTAGGTCTTACATTTAAGTCTTTAATCCATCTTGAGTTAATTTTTGTATAAGGTGTAAGGAAGGAATCCAGTTTCAGCTTTCTGCATATGGCTAGCCAGTTTTCCCAACACCATCTATTAAACAGGGAATCCTTTCCCCACTGCTTGTTTTTGTAGGTTTGTCAAAGATCATATGGTTGTAGACGTGTGGTGTTATTTCTGAGGCTGCTGTTCTGTTCCATTGGTCTATATATCTGTTTTGGTATCAGTACCATACTGTTTTAGTTACTGTAGCCTTGTAGTATAGTTTGAAGTCAGGTAGCATGATGCCTCCAATTTTGTTCTTTTTGCTTAGGATTGTCTTGGCTATGTGGGCTCTATTTTGGTTCCATATGAAATTTAAAGTAGTTTCTTCTAATTCTGTGAAGAAAGTCAATGGTACTTTGATGGGGATATCAATGAATCTACAAATTATTTTGGGCAGTATGGCCATTTTCATGATACTGATTCTTCCTATCCATGGGCATGGAATGTTTTTCCATTTGTTTGTGTCCCCTCTTATTTCCTTGAGCAATGTTTTGTAGTTCTCCTTGAAGAGTTCCTTCACATCCCTTGTAAGGTGCATACCTAGGTATTTTATTTTACTCTCTTTGTAGCAACTGTGAATGGGAGTTCACTCATGATTTGGCTGTCTGTCTGTTATTGATGTATAGGAATGTTTGTGATTTTTGCACATTGATTTTGTATCCTGAGACTTTGTTGATGTTGCTTATCAGCTTAAGATTTGGGCTGAGACAATGGGGTTTTTTTAAATATACAATCATGTCATCTGCAAACAGAGACAATTTGAATTCCACTTTTCCTAACTGAATACCCTTTATTTCTTTCTCTTGCCTGATTGCCCTGGCCAGAACTTCCAATACTATGTTGAATAGGAGTGGTGAGAGAGTGCATCCTTGTCTTGTGCCGGTTTTCAAACAGAATGCTTCCCGTTTTTGCCCAATCAGTACAATATTGGCTGTGGGTTTGTCATAAATAGCTCTTATTATTTTGAGATATGTTCCATCAATACCTAGTTTATTGAGAGTATTTAGCATGAGGGGCTGCTGAATTTTGTCAAAGGCCTTTTCTGCATCTATTCAGATAATCATGTGGTTTTTGTCATTGGTTCTGTTTATAATGATGGATTATGTTTATTGATTTGCATATGTTGAACCAGCCTCGCATCCCAGGGATGAAGCAGACTTGATCATGGTGGATAAGCTTTTTGATGTGCTGCTGGATTTGGTTTGCCGGTATTTTATTGAGGATTTTCACATCAATGTTCATCAGGGATATTGGCCTGAAATTTTGTTTTTTTATTGTGTCTCTGCCAGGTTTTGGTATCAGGATGATTCTGGCCTCATAAAATGAGTTACAGAGGAGTCCCTCTTTTTCTATTGTTTGGAGTAGTTTCAGAAGGAATGGTACCAGCTCCTCTTTGTACCTCTGGTAGAATTCAACTGTGAATCCATCTGGTCCTGGGCTTTTTTTGGTTAGCAGGCTATTAAGTACTGCCTCAATTTCAGAACTTGTTATTGGTCTATTCAGGGATTCAACTTTTTCCTGGTTTAGTCTTGGGAGGGTGTATATGTTCAGGAATTTCTCCATTTCTTCTAGATTTTCTAGTTTATTTGCATAGAGGTGTTTATAGTATTCTCTGATGGTAGTTGGTATTTCTGTGGGATCAGTGGTGATATCCCCTTTATCATTTTCTATTGTATCTATTTGAGTCTTCTCTCTTTTCTTCTTTATTAGTCTGGCTAGCGGTCTATTTTGTTGATCTTTTCAAAAAACCAGCTCCTGAATTCATTGATTTTTTAGGGTTTTTCATGTCTCTATCTCCTTCAGTTCTGCTCTGATCTTAGTTATTTTTTGTCTTCTGCTAGCTTTTGAATTTGTTTGCTCTTGCTTCTCTAGTTCTTTTAATTGTGATGTTAGGGTGTCGATTTTGGATCTTTCCTGCTTTCTCTTATGGGCATTTAGTGCTATAAATTTTCCTCTAGGCATGCTTAAAATGTGTCCCAGAGATTCTCCTACATTGTGTCTTTGTTCTCACTGGTTTCAAAGAACATCTTTATTTCTGCTTTCATTTCGTTATTTTTCCAGTAGTCATTCAGGAGCAGGTTGCTCAGTTTCCATGTAGTTGTGCGTTTTTGAGTGAGTTTCTTAATCCTGAGCTCTAATTTGACTGCACTGTGGTCTGAGAGACTGTTATGATTTCTGTTCTCTTGCATTTACTGAGGAGTGTTTTACCTCCACTTATGTGGTCAATTTTAGTATAAGTGCGATGTGGTGCTGAGGAGAACGTATATTCTGTTGATTTGGGGTGGAGAGTTCTGTAGGCGTCTATTAGGTCTGCTTGGTCCAGAGCTGAGTTCAACTCCTGGATATCGTTGTTAATTTTCTGTCTCGTTGATCTATCTAATATTGACAGTGGGGTGTTAAAGTCTCTCACTATTATTGTGTGGGAGTCTGCCTCTAGGTCTTTAAGAACTTGCTTTATGAATCTGGGTGCTACTGTATTAGGTGCATATATATTTAGGATAGTTAGCTCTTCATGTTTCATTCATCTCTTTCCCATTATGTAATGCCCTTCTTTGTCTCTTTTGATCTAAAGTCTCTTTTATCAGAGACTAGGATTGCAACCCTGGCTTTTTTTTTTTTTTTTTTTTTTTTTTTGCTTTCAATTTACTTGGTAAATCTTCCTCCACCCCTTTATTTTGAGCTTATGTGTGTCTTTGCACGTGAAATGGGTCTCCTGAATATAGCACACTGATAGGTCTTGACTCTTTAACGAATTTGCCAGTCTGTGAGTCTGTGTCTTTTAATGGAGGCATTTAGTCTGTTTACCCTTAAGGTTAATATTGTTATGTGTGAAATTGATCCTGTCATTATGATGCTAGCTGGTTATTTTGCCCATTAGTTGATGCAGTTTCTTCATAGCATTGATGGTCTTTACAATTTGGTATGTTTTTGCAGTGGCTAGTACCAGTTGTTCCTTTCCATGTTTAGTGCTTCCTTCAGGAGCTCCTATAAGGCAGGCCTGGTGGTGACAAAATCTCTCAGCAGTTGCTTGTCTGTAAAGGATTTTATTTATCCTTAGTTTATTAAGCTTAGTTTGGCTGGATATGAAATTCTCGATTGAAAATTCTTTTCTTTAAGAATGTTGAATATTAGCCCCCACTCTATTCTGGCTTGTAGGGTTTCTGCCAAAGAGATTCACTGTTAGTCTGATGGGCTTCCCTTTGTGGGTAACCCGACCTTTCTCTCTGGCTGCCCTTAAGATTTTTTCCTTCATTTCAACCTTGATGAATTGGCAATTATGTGTCTTGGGGCTGCTCTTCTCGAGGAATATCTTTGTGGTGTTCTCCGTATTTTCCTGAATTTGAATGTTGCTGGCCTGCCTTGCTAGGTTGGGGAACTTCTCCTGGATAATATCCTGAAGAGTGTTTTCCAACTTGGTTCCATTCTCCCGGTCACTTTCAGGTACACCAATCAAACGTAGATTTGGTCTTTTCACATAGTTCCATATTTCTTGGAGGCTTTATTTGTTTCTTTTCACTCTTTTTTTTTTTCTCTCTAATCTGGTCTTCTTACTTTATTTCATTGAGTTAATCTTCAATCTCTGATATCCTTTCTTCCACTTGATCGATTCAGCTATTGATACTTGTGTATGCTTCACAAAGTTCTCGTGCTGTGTTTTTCAGTTCCATCAGGTCATTTAAATTCTTCTCTAAGCGGGTTATTCTAGTTAGCAATTTGTCTAACCTTTTTTCCAGGTTCTTAGCTTCCTTACATTGGGTTAGAATATGCTCCTTTAGCTTGGAGGAGTTTGTTAGTACCCACCTTCTGAAGCCTACTTCTGTCAATCCGTCAAACTCATTCTCCATCCAGTTTTGTTGCCTTGCTGGTGAGGAGTTGTGATCCTTTGGAGGAGAAGAGGTGTTCTGGTTTTTGGAATTTTCAGACTTTTTGCGCTGGTTTCTCCCCATCTTCATGGACTTATCTACCTTTGGTCTTTGATGTTGGTACTATTCCTTTCTGTTTGTAATCATAATTAGAGGGTTGAAACTTTCGGTCCTACTCCAACCTCTAGGAAGGGGAGAGGAGCTGAAGGTTGAGTCGATAAACCAATGGCCAATGATTTAATCAATCATTCCTAAGTAAACAAGTTTCCATAAAAATTCTAAAGGACTGTTTTGTGGGCTTCTGGATAACATTAACACATGCAGGTTCCCAGAGCGTGGCATAGCTGGAGAAGGCATGAAAACTCCATGCCCCTTCTCCACGCCTTGTGTTATGCATCTTGTCTGTTCATCTAGCTGTTCATCTGTATTCTCTGTAATATCCTTTATAATAAGTGGATAAATGTAAGTATTTCTGTGAGTTCTGTGAGCCACTCTAGAAAATTAATCGAACCCAAGGAGCGGATCATGGGAACCCCAATTTATAGCTATTCAGTCAGACACAAGGCTACAACTTATGCCTGTGACTGGCATCTGAAGTAGGGGGGCAGTGTTGTGGGACTGAGACCTCATCCTGTGGGATCTGATGCTGTTTTCCGGAAGACAATGTCAGAATAGAATTGAATCAGAAGACACCCAGTTGGTGTCTGTTGGAGAGAAATCTTCATACATTTTGGTGACCAGAGGCCACAGAAGTATTCTGTCTTGTATGATTATAGTAGGAGATACTACTCCCCACCAACCCCCATATCCTCAGATATATCTACAGAGGCTTCCAATAATTATAAACTATAACACAGTAAAGTGCTTCGAGGGGGAAAAAAATCCTTGAATAATACTGTCAAATGACTTAATGCAACAAATGACAAGGGAAAGAAGGCCTTGAAAAACACAACACACTGAAGGCATTCAGTACAAAAACAAATGGTCTTAACAGCACTTGAAAGGGCCCAACCATATTATAGCTCTGAGTAATAATCGATAACTATGATACTCCTGAGGCATTAACAAATTAAATGACCAGTATACTCTATTTCAGAAAGCCAGACTATAGCTAATAATTTTTTTAATAAAAAAGCAAATTAAAGTTATTTTAAAAATATCAGTATATTGGGGAGATTTTAAAAATCACATATAATAATACATCATTCATTGGCAATATACATACTCTCAGAAAGTCAGTTACTCTTCAAACCTTTCCAATCTCCTTTCATGCTCCACTAAACCCTCTGGAAAGCCACTCACAAATCCGGTGATCTGCTTGGTCAACCCTTTCAACCTCTTTTGAGTTTCTTCACAAATTCTCAAAGCTTGTAAGCATCTTTTCTCTATTTCTTACTCCTTAAATGTACATAGCGTCTAAGTAGACCTTACCACTTTATATTCTTTGTAAATTTATGGGTTCAATTATAATCTCCCAATTTTGTTTCCAGCCCTGGCTTCTCCCTTATATTTTCAACTGCCTCTTGGTCATCTCAGTATGAATGATCCATAGGTACTCAAAGGGGAAACAGTAAAAATCTAACTTTTCTTCCCTCTAAAACTAACTTGCTCTTCCTTCCATGTTTACTTCTTTTATCAGCAATACCATTCTTCCAGCAATGCAGGCAAATGCAGGAAAATCTCCTAAGACGCTATTGGTCCATTCCCCTTTAGTGTTACCCTCATTTTAGGACCTGCCTCTCAAGCTGAGTTACTGTCACTTATTCTTTGCACATAAGACCTCTAGGCCTTTAACAACTCACTTTTCTATTAGTCCTCACTTTTACTTCTTTCCTTCCACAGCTTATATTCCATGTTCCATTAGTCAGACCACCATCATGTCAATATCTTACTCTCAATGTACCAACCTGAAGTAGCACAACATAAGCATGTAATCAGACTGCTGAACAAAACCAATACAATGATGTATACTGGTGCTGCTTTCAATTTAAGACCTCTAATTAAGCTAGTGAAAAAAAAAATCCCAAGTTGCACTAGTCTAATTTCTACAGTATCTATTACAAACTGTCCTCCTGTTCCCTAAGTCTTCGACTTTACCTTATTTGTAAATAATCCCAACCTCTTCCTAGAGAAAATGAAAGTCAGGGAATACCTCTTCTTCCATTCACTAAACTAGTTTCCACATACTTTTGCTTCACTCTTCACCATTACAATGTAATAGTGCCCTGAAGAATCTCCTGATCTTGCTCAACTGATTATCACTCTTTCTCCTAGCACTGAAATATGATCAAGACCCTGATATTTTAAAAAATACATAAAAACCTTACTTCGCTGTCATAATCATCTCTACCCACTCTTTCTCCTTATAGCTCAAGCACTGTTTATATTTATTTTGATTTCTTCACTTGCCAGAGTCCTCAATCCTGTTTCCCATATTCACCAATCCCATTAAGCTCATTCACCAAGGTCATCAACAAACTTCTTGCTCCTAAACAGAACTTGACTTTTTCCTATGCTGCTCATCAGCACCTGACACTTTCACCACATTCTCCTGCCTGAAGCACTTTTCTTGGGTTTCTAAAAACACTGCATACTCTGGATTTTTCTCACACCTTTCTGTTCCTTCCCAGTCTGCCCTGTAGGCTCATTTTCCCCCCTCTGCTAGCCCTCAGATTCTCTTCATGGCTGTCTTGGCCCTCTTGTCTTGTTACACTCTCCCATGGCAATTTCATCTACCCTCATGGCTCTAGTTATCACTTAACACTAAAGAATTTCAAATATGTATCTACTATTGAGCTTTTCCCTCTGCTATAGATGCATATATTCAAGGGTCTACTAATCATTACCACTTAGATGTCTTGAGGCTATCTCAAACTCTGCACGTGCACAAAAATAAATTCTTCGTCTTCAATCCCCACTAAATTTGCTGCGATGCTACTTCAGCTCAGGGATTGCTATCATCATCCATTCAGGTATTCAAGCCAGAAACACAAACACTATCCTTGACTCTTTATACTCCAATATCCAATCTACATACACTTCTGGAGATTCAACCTTTAATCTACCACAGATCAGTTCTCTTCTTACTTACCCCTGATTCAGGGCAGTATTACCTACTGCCTGGATTACTGTATTCTCTTAAAGAGGTCCCCTTCCTTTAGTTCCCTTCCCCTGAATTCTTCATTCTGCAGCCAAAATGATCTTCTGAAGTTGGTTCTTTCTAAGAATTCTGCCTAGCCCACAACTCACCATACCCCTTAACTGTGAGAGGGGTTGGCTTTGAAGCACCATGTTTATGCTACATGACCCTGCCCTCTTAGCACAGCTGATTAAACCAAGGGTAGACAACTGACAAGGAACCAGTCAGACTCTCTCCAGAGGACTTGAAAGTGGGAGAGAAATTCAGAGGCTGTTAAGTTAGAGCTGTATAGTTAAGAGAAGACAGTATACACAGAGCAATGAAGCAGACATGAGAGACAAGACACTATGCGATACAACAGAAGAGGACGCATCTGATACTGAACCATGTCTGGTTCCAAATCTTTGTGAAGTCCAGCCGCACTTCCTACCTCTGCATATGCTGAATCCTCTGGGTCACTTTCTTTGTCTTTTGCTTAAGTTTCTGACTTATAACTAAGACATTCTTAGCTAAAATAATTCTTCTAACATGCAATTTTGACCCTGAATCTCCCTTGCTTAAAATCATACCACAGTTAATTTCTGTTCCTAAGATAAAATCCAAGGCTTCATTAGGGTTGTGGACCAAGAACTAGGGGATTCCAGGAACTTCAGGACTCTGGATGATTTGGCCCTGGCCCTCTCTTACCAGATCCTCCTCCCTCTCCAATCCCAGGATCCAGCCACAATTAACTGCTTTAAAAGTACCACAATCTTTTCACCTCCAAGCCAACATGCGGGGAGAGGACAGGGAGGAATCTGTAACACACTCTAACCCCAACTTTACCTGGTCAAGACCTACTCATCCCTGAGGCTTCAAGTTCAGTCAGTATACTCACTCCCAAGACAACACTGAGTCTTTCTCCATGGCAGCACATGTATTACCCTGAATTGAAATGTCTGTGCTTCCCATTGGACTAAAACACATGTAAGGGTAAAGAGCATGCATTTTGTTCACAGTTGGATTCCCAGAATTGCATAGCACACACTCAAATATTTTTGAATTAATCTAATCAGCTGCCAAATTGTGTTGATTTTACTGTCTTGATAAATTACTTTTTATTTCCTTAGACACTGTCCTACTTCAATCTCATTTCTTCTCTAAAATATTTCAATGATTTCTTAACTACTCTCTCTGCCTAATTTCACTCCCTTCAAATCCACCCATTATCTCCTGTAGCAAGTAGGTATTGTAATATAAGTTAATTTAATTCTCTCTTCTCTCAAAAACTGCCTTTAGAACAAAGCCCATCCAGTTGAATGTTTTATTCCTGGACCATATTAAGCTTTTCTGCCTTGATGCCTCTGTCCCCTTATGTGAAATGCCCTTTTCCACTATCTCCAAGTGTTCAAATATATGCCATTATATAAGGCCAAGAAATGGTATCTTTCGTTGAATTTTATTTATACTTCTCATGACACAATTTTTAAAACATTGAACTAAAAGTTACCTATATATCTAACTGTAAACTTATTCTGTCAACTACGAAACATCAAGTTTACAGATTATGCAAAGATAAAACATGTAAAGCAACTCAACATAAGTGAAGAAACTGAGTTATTAATATTCACAAATACTTTTCATAATAATGTTACTTATGATTAATAAAATTATCTTTGTCTGCAAGATAGACTTTTCAATCTATCTAAAAGAAAGACTTTTAGAATGCTTTCATTACCAAAGACTGATGCTTAGTTTTGGTTAATGACATCCTTTAAACAATTAACTTGAAATTTATATATATATGTAAACATATATATGTATTTATTTATTTATTTATTTATTTATTTTTAATTTTTAAACAAGATCTCACTCTGCCACCCAGGCTGGAATGCAACGGCACAAGCATGGCTCACTTGCAGCCCCAAACTCCTGGGCTTAAGCAATCCTCCCATCTCAGCCTCCTGAATAGCTAGGACTACAGGCGTGTACCACCAAGCTTGCTTAATTTTAAAATTGTATAGATGGGGTCTCATTCTGTTGCCCAGGCTGGTCTCAAACTCTTGGCCTCAAGTGATCCTCCTGCCTTGGCCTCCCAAAGTGCTGCGCTACTACACCCAGCTGAAACTTCTATTAACTAAAATTGGCTTAATTTTAAGGGTGCACAAATAACCATGATACCTCAATCAATATTAAATTTTCCTTTGTGGGCTTGGTACTTCAGATATTTCTTGGTCCAACACCTTCTAGTCATTCAGTTAAATTTTCAAGTTAGGAAAACAATATTGAAATAACATTTGGTGATTATGTAGCAGGGAGGATTCTAGAAAGCAATTTTTTTTTTTTAAAAGCCAGCTACTAAACTGCACTAATAAAGCTTTCCAAATATTTGAGCTCCTTCAGACTAGTCAGTTGTTAACAGGGTAAAAAAAGAAAAAAAATTTTTCAACCCTATATGGCAGTGTTTTCCAAACTAATGAGCTCCAACACACCGATGGGCCATGAAATGAATTTGGTGGATTTGAATTTTTTTTAGTGAAATAGAAGAGAATAAAGAATATTAGGATGTAACTCATGTGGTAAGGATAAATATTTGCAAAACTTATTTTTATACTGTTCAATCAGATTTGGCCCAAAGCTGCCTCCATACACTATTAACTGTACTCTAGCTTGATGTGTAAACAAGTTATAACCTAACTTAGGAGTATACCCTTATAACCACACATCTGAGTCTCAGCCAATCCCAGGTTAAAAGCTGCTAGATTATGCCCAAATAAGGCAAACACCAACCTGCACCAATCAGGTAATTTCTGTATGACATTTCCTATTTTTCCCTGTTATTAGAACAGCTCACCAGTTGTAAGTGGTAGTATTCTGAACCATCTTAGAGTGCTGTCTGCTTCTAGAACCTTTTTCCTGCTCAAATAAACTTTGTTAAGTTTAAAGGTTCTTAGGGGTTTTTTTTGTTTAGTTTAGTTTTTAACAATACACAGATAAAGGCATACTGCATCACCAAAGTTATTTTTTTTCCCATAGGAAAAAAATACTCATAAAAAAAATCTACCTCCTTTCCAACAAAAAGTTATAGCAGGTTAAGTATTTAAATATACCTAGGGTTCTTTTCTTATTACATAAGAGCATTTAAAGTGACTTCAAATTAAGAAAAAAAAAACTGAATTCTAAAAGAATTTTCTCATTTGTCTTTGATTTACTGTGGACTTTACTGATCAAGTACATTCCGCAAACTATGGCATGTAACATGCTACCCAGTAAATTACTATATATTCTGACTTCTCATTACTGAATCAGGAAATGACTAAATAATTTAATATGCAATTAAGGTTTAGATGAAGTTGATTCATCAAGAGATAATTGTAATCCAACTGTCATGCCATGACTGTAACACATGAGACATGCTCATTCTTTGACAACCTAAAGTTTGTCTTCCTTATACTCATATCTAAAATATCATTTAGGTACACAGCTAATAATAATAAAATGGCTAGGATTCAATATGCTTTAAAAAATACTTTTGTCAAAGATTCTTTATAGACAAATGAATAATTTTACATTTCTCTCAAAAGATGGGATAATAATCTCTTTAGTTTATCGTTATTTTGGTTACCAAGAGTTAGCAAAGGTTTAGAATTTCCACACAAGGCAACATTGTGTAAATGCGGTAATAGTACTGACGGCAATATCTGATAATACATAAAAAAAGAACAAAAATAGCAATAAATCTAGTCAATGCATACGAAAATTTCTAAGGTGATATGGAGGATACAAATTTACAGTCATGGGAGGATATTTATCTTAGATATCTTTGGGTTCAGTTCGCATTACTGGTTATTTTTGTTTTAATAGTTGTGAAAGTACAATTTCAACTTTGCAGTGAAAAAGGACAAAGACAACAGAGCCAGAAAAATGATACCACAGCCACACAGAAATTAAGTACATCCTTTAAACAAACCCCTTTTGTATTGTTTGCTTTACTTCACTCCTGCTTCCTTAAGAACACTGGCAAACAGCCATATTTCCTGTTTTACACGGCTTAGCTGCAAGGACTCTTAAACAATAAAGAGAAATCAAGGGGATTTTATAAAGACAAATTGTTGTTACAATATTTGTAATGTAATCTAGTTATAATATTGTAAATAATGTGTATTTACATCAATAACTTGCCATTCTCCTTTAAATCGTACACTATATTTTCAAACTGATGAAATAATTCAGTTATTATTCCTGAAAAATAAGATTATTAGGTGCAAACACTTTCTCTGGAAAAATCAATTTTATAGTGTTTGCTGTCATTCTAAAGGTATCTGTAAAAGAGATACCAGTATGACTGATTGCTCTAGCTTGGCAAGAATATTTGTTTATAATCTCAAAGATCAACTGTGAGAGGCAATCAATCCTTTGTTTGGAGTTTTCTGTCTTTAGGATATGAAAGTATCCAACTAGTTGATATTACAAATGTTTCTGCCATTTCAGAAAATAATTATTTTCTCTTGGGCAAAAAAATAAAAAACAACCCTTGATATCACAAAGAGTTTGCCTCTCTAACTTACTGTTTCTTTGATCCTAGGCAACTTCTGATTCCTTAGTTTCTTCATCTGTAAATAGAGATATTTGTACTTGTCTTCCAAATTATTGAGAGCATCAAATTAAGTAAGAAACTGGCACATGATAAGCATTCAACAAATCTTAATTCCTTTTCCTTTTTACTTAACTCAAAACAGAAAGCCATAAGCATAAAATATTTCTAAAGAATTCAGTTTTTTTTTTTAAATTTTTTCAGGCAATATCAACAGGGTCAATGTCAAAAACAAAATTCTCCTCAGGGTTGGTTACAAACATAAGCTCTAATGAGCCATTTCATTATACTCATTATTTGGCTTCAAAAACTCAAGATACCAATGTGTGCTTTCAGGGAAAATAAAAATAAAAAATAATAAAAAAGGAAACTTAAGGAAACGAATTAACGCAGTGAGCTCCCTGCTGATGAAAATATCCTCTTTAGTCATCCTGGTATTTCCCTCCACTGCCCCATACAATTCCAAGCACAAAAACACTAAATAAATATTACTACAGAACTGAAGCAAATAGCCCCGTGTGCCTCAAAAACTCCTGAGGTACCACCATGTGCTGGAAAATGACTCCAAATGACTATGAATCAGGAAGAAATGGATGAATTATTAACTGCATGCCTAGTTTGAAGAAATCTAAATAGATTATTGGCAATTGAATTAAAGTCTAAAATAACTTAAAAGCAAAAAACAAAATCTTCTAAGCACTGTAATGCACTTTTTACTACTGATATGAAGAACACTTCACCAGCTTTTCAGAAGTCTGTAAATAATCAGAAAATGCGAGGAAATCTGCCATCACATATATGTAAAGCTAGGTTCAGGTAAGGGCTCATCCAGTTTTTAAAAAGCAAACAGTACTCAAAGTAGAAACTACAAGCAAAGCAAGCAAGGATCAATCTGAGCTGCCAAAGTGGTGCACTTGAGCCATCTAGTGGATGGAGAAAAATGTAAGTTTAATTCTGTAAGAAAAACGTCCTACTGCTCAATTCCCTATGAAAACAGTAACAAATATGTTCTTTGGAACAGTACATTAAAATTGATAAAAGATAGTATTGAACTAACAAGTAGATATCGAGGAAAGATGAAAAATACAATGACGACAAATTTTTCAGGGTAGAGTTCAGATTTTATGGATAACTAAAGATGAAAACTAAGGACAAACACTCTTCCTTTATGGTATTTTTCTTACAACCATATAATCATTAGACCACACATAATTTATAAAACACATTACAGAAAATAAGAAAGATTTCTTGCCAGCTCCAGCTACCAAAGCCAAAGGTGGGGAGAAAAGAGAAATAGGAATAGATAAATGAATTTCTATGAGCGCATATAAAGAAAAGGAGGTTACCTTTCTGCCAGGGGACTCACATTCAATTATGGTTATGGCAACCCCAGCTCACCTAGGACTCCTGCTCCCATGTGGGACTGAAGGCAAAATGACCTTAAAATTTTCAGTACTCAGGAGGCTGAGGCGTGAGGATGGCTAGACGCCAAGAGTTCAAGGCTGCAGTGCATTATGTTCAGGCCAGTGAATAGCTACTGCACTCCAGTCTGGGCAACACAGCGAGGCCCCATTTCTAAAAAATAAATACCACGCTAGGTGTGGCGGTTCACGCCTGTAATCCCAACCCTTTGGGAGGCCGAAGTGGGCGGATCATGAAGTCAGGAGTTCGAGACCAGCCTGGCCAACATGGTGAAACCCTGTCCATACTAAAAATACAAAAATCAGCTGGGCGTGGTGGCAGGCGCCTGTAATCCCAGCTACTCAGGAGGCTGAGGCAGGAGAATTGTTTGAACCCGGGAGGTGGAGGTTGCAGTGAGCCAAGATCACGCCATTGCACTCCAGCCTGGGCAACAAGAGTGAAACTCCATCTCAAAAAAAAAAAAAAAAAAAACTAATAAAATTTTGGAAATCACAAATTACGTGAGCAGTGTGATACAGTGGAATCCACTTAAATTTTGGAGGCACATTTTTCTTGTTCATAAAACTATGGTCTTGGAATAAATTAGTGGTAAGATCGCTCTTAACTAAAATTTAATGATTTTAGAAACCCCTACCCACTTCCCACCCCCCACCCCCAAAATAGAGGCTAATAAAAAGAAAATGTGGTTTTTTTCTTTGTATTTGTTCCCCATTAATTCACATGAACAGTATATGATTTCCTCTTCTGAGTCTGGGACACAAAGATGACTCCCTGATCCCAAGAAATAGAGAAACTAGTTAGTAGAAATAAAACACTCAAAGTTCATCTTAAAGCAAGGCAGAAACAAGGGTCAGAAAAGATACAAATGAAATGCTACAGATATCTTTGAGGCTAAGAATCTGGCCTGAAAAAAGGTAATTTTCACTTCCGTATCTTTCTTTCTAAGACTCATTGTGTAAGGAGAAAAGAGGTAGAAGGGATGGGGGATATGGTGAAGGGAATGAATAGTGAGAGGAAAGAACAGAGGCAAAAACAGCAACTGTCAAAGAAAAATATTCCATTTTGCTGGGCATACAGGTTTCATAAAGGATCCACTGCAGGAAATAAAGCTGGAAAAAGGTACGATGAATTTACTTTTGCATCACAGACCACTGGCAAACCACATCTGAGGACATTAAGCAAGGCAAATAAAGCTGGTCATGTCAATGAAAATGAGGAAAATTTTCTGAAGTTTTGGAAAGAATCAATGAAATTTGCTAGTCAACTGGCTATACAGGCAATGAGGAAGAAGCTAGAACTCAAGAAATTTCAGTCTGCATGCCAGGAAGGGTAGTGATATTATTAACCCAAGTAGAAAACATACTTACTGTGTCATATAAATTCTCATTTTACATACAAATTAGTAAGAAGAAAGATGCAGACTAAGGACAGCACCTTAGGGAAGACCTATATGTAAGCTCCCCCCTACGCCCCAGGGGAAAGAAAGAAGAAAGGCAAGGATGGAAGAAGAAATGCACAACGGTCATCAGGGTAGAAAGGAAAACTTAGAGAAGTATAATAGTACAAGAGAGAGCAATGTTAGTAGTATGAAGTGGTAAAAACTTTATTTGCTTTAAAGTGTGAAAGTGATGATAGCTATAATACATTTCCTTTTTTAAAAGTATAAGTATTATTCTGAAAGCAACAGGGAAGCATTCAAGCCTAGGAAAGGTAAACTGAAATAATTCATGTTCAGTGGCTGTTTTCACCCTAGAAAAGGACATGAGGTCCTGTGGAGCAGTAAGAGATTGGGGGAGAAGGGAAGTGGAAAACAGCTGAGAACATAAGGAAAATGAAATCATTATAAGGTAATTACAGAGGCAGTCATAAGTCAACTAAGGGCAGTCAACCAAGAACAAACAGACTATCAAGTGACACACTGGAAAAGCAAAAAGATAAAAACACTGATTTTGGACATGTTAATTTGGAGACCCTATTAATGTGATCAGGGGTAATATGCAACAGACGTACGGAAATACAAAAGTGGAACTCTAAAAAGTGGGTCACGTTCCTCGATAGAATTCATGTATAAAAGTAGCTGGTCTGATGCTGTTTCCATAATATTAATCAATCAGGTCTTTTTCTTTTTATCGATTTTGGTTATTTTTATTTTCCTTTAAAAAAAATCAACCACTTCATCATGATTACAGATAACTGGCATAGAAATGTACAAAAAATGCATCTTACAAAAACTATTACATAACAAAGTGTATTCTGTATATACACACACTTAAAAAAAGAATGAACACCAGTGTATCCATCACCCATTACCAATCCCTTAAAATTCCCCCCATAATCATCTCCTCCTCTCACACCCAAGAGGTACCATTTATCCTAAAGTTTGTGGAAATCATTGCCTTGCTTTTCTTTGTAACTTCACAATCTAAGTATTTATCCCAGTCATATTTTTCGGTTTTGGCTCTTACCAAACTTCATATAAAAGAAATCATGGCATACATATCCTTTTGCGTTTGCTTCTTTCACCTGATTTTATAACTGTGATACATGCGTGTGAGAGTGTGTGTGGCTGTAGTTCACAAATTGGGCCTATGGAATGATATTCCACTACATGAATATACCACAGTTTATCTAATCTACTACTGAGGGATATTTAGGCTGTTTCCAATTTTAGGCTATGATAAAAAACGTTGCTATGAACATTCTTGTAGATGCCTCCCCCACACATTTGCTTATGCTTTTCTAGGGTTATTTACCCTAACTTCTAGGGTATCTACGAGTTAATCTGCTGGGCCATAGGATAAGCACCTGCTCAACTATTTTAGGTGATAAAAAAACCAATTTTCCAAAGGGGTAACACCAACATGGAATTGACAGACTTTTAAATGTAACTAATATCTCACTTGGTTTTAGTCTGCACTTCTCTTAAATACTAAGGAGACTGGGCATCTTTTCTGTATACTTTCCTTTCAGTTTTCCTATTTTTGAAGTCTCTTTCTAGTTCAACTGTTCGAGTTCTTTACACCTTCTTCTTTTTTTTTCTTTTAGACAGAGTCTCACTTTGTAGCCCAGGCTGGAGTGCAGTGACACGATCTCGGCTCACTGCAACCTACATCTCCCAGGTTCAAGTGATTCTGGTGCCTCAGCCTCCCAAGAAAGTGGGATTACAGGTGCATGCTGCCAAACCCGGTTAATTTGTAACAGTCCTTTCTCAATTATGTGTTGCAAATATCTTCTCTAGTTGGAGGCTTGCTGTCTCACTCCCCTTATAAAGATTTCTGGCAAAGATGAGTTCCAAAACAATGTAGCTGAACCGATCAATCCTTTTCATGCTTTCTGTGTCTTGATTAAGAATCTTTCCAGCCTTAAAATCATGGATAATATGCTCTTTATGTTATTAAAAGCTTTATACAGTTGTTGGCTTTTACATAGAGGTATTTATTCAACCTGGAACTGATTTTTATACGATGTGAGGAAGGTATCCAATTTATTTTTTTTCATGTGTCTATCCGATTAACCTAGCACAAGTCATTGAAGCCCTTTCCTTAGTGATCTGCAATGGTGTTCTGTCACATAGAAAGTATTCAAATAGGCAGGGAATGGGTGGTTCTGGGTACTCTATTCTTTCCACTGTCTATTTTCTACCTTTGTACCAATATCACAATGTTTAATTATTTTCATTTTATAATATATCGATATCTGATAGGGCTAGCCCCCCAAACTGTCAAGAAACTCTTGACACAGACAAGAGAAAAAGACCTGCAAAGAACTTAAACACTAAAATGATCACAGCTTACAAAACTATGTGTAACAAGCTTTTAAAAAATGGCAAAACTAAATGTATCCGAATTACAACAGCAAATTATAAACAGAAAACTACTAAAAATGAAAACTGAGATAAATTAATTTAAAAAATGAAAACCTGTGGATCCGCTGGTGCAGTATACTGAAGAAAATGTACACACTTAAAATGCGTATTTTTAAGAGATAAAAGTTAATAAGCTAATAAATAATAATTTGAATTAGGAAAAGAGCAGTAATATCAACCCAAAGAATATAGTAAAAGGAAGAAAATAATGAAGATGAGATGAGAGCACAAATTAATGAAGCAAAACAGAAGAAGAATCAGCAAAACCAAAAGTCGGGTTTTTTATAAGATAAAGCCGGAGGACTCATACTTTCTGACTTCAAAACGTACTACACAGTAACAGTAATAAAAACAGTATGGTACTGGCATAAGGACAGACATGCAGATCAATGGAATAGAACAGAAAGTCCCGAAGTAAACCCATATATCAATGGTCATCGATTTCTGACAAGGGTGTCAAGACAAGAGGGAAAGAACAGTATCTTCAACAAATGGTGCCAGACAACTAGATTGCCAACATGCACAAAGAATACATTAGCCTGTTACCTATACCATGTTCAAAAATTAACTCAAAATGGATCAAAGACCTAATATAAAACTAAAACTATAAAACACTTAGAAGAAAAGATAGGAGGGTAAATCTTTTAGACCCTGGATTTGGCAACGGTTTTGTAGATATGACATCAAAGGCACAAGCAACAAAAGAAAACCAGATGAATTAGACTTTGCCAATATTAAAAACTTTTGTACATCAGAGGACATTATTAAGAAAGTGGAAAGACAACCCACAGAAGAGGAGAAAATATTTGCAACTCATGTATCTGACAAAGGTCTTGTATCCAAAACAGGAAAGAACTCTTACAATTCAACAACAAAAAAGACAAACCCAAAACAGCCAATAAGTATGTTACAAGATGTTCAACATCATTACCCCATGAGGCAAATACAAATCAAAACCATAAGGCACCACTTCATATCCACTATGATGACTACTAATATAATCAAAAAGAAAGTAACAAGCTCTGACCACGATGTGGATAATTAGAATCCTTGTATATCACATGGGTAGAAATATAAAATGGTACAACTGCTATGAAAAACAGTTTGCTGGGTACCTCAAAAAGTAAAACATAGATTACCATATGACCCAGCAATTCCAGTCAGGGGTATATATCCAAAAGAACTGAAAACAGATACTCAAACAAAAACGTGGATACACATGTTCATAGCAGCACTATTCACAACAGCCAAAAGGTAGCAACATCCAAAGGTTCATCAACTAATGACTGGATAAACAAAATGTGGTAGATAGAAACAAAGTACTGATACCTGCTACAATATGGATGAACCTTGAGGACATTATGCTAAGTGAAGTAAACCAGGTACATATTCTATGATTCAATTAACATGAAATATCCAAAAAAGACAAACCCAGAGACAAAAAGCAGATTAGTGCTTACCAGGAAGGAAATGGGACAGGGGAATGAGGAGTGACTACGTAACGGATACAGGGTTTCCTCTTGGGGTGATGAAAATGTCCTGGAACTATACAGTGGTGACGGATGCACAACATTCTAAATGTACTAAACAAATAATAAATTTATGTTACGTGTATTTTATAATTAAAAGATTTTAAAAAATAAGATTGATGGCCAGGTGCAGTGTAACCTATAACCCCACCACTTTGGAAGGCCGAGGTGGATGCATTGCTTGAGCCCAGGGGTTCGAGACCAGCCTGGGCAACATGGTGAAACTCCATCTCTATTAAAAAATACAAAATTTAGCCAGGTGTGGTGGCATGTATCTATAGTCCCAGCTCCCACTTCAGAGGCTGAGGTGGGAGGATCACCTGAGCCCGAGAGGTCAAGGCTGCATGAGCCTGGATCATGCCACCGCACTCCAGCATAGGTAAAAGAGCGAGACCCTGTCTCAAAACACAAACAAAAATGATGAACTCTCTGGTATGTTCACTTATCACTGATTATTCTTAGCAAACCATAAAGATAGCGGCATTTACTATTTGGTGTTTGCAAGACTAAACAAAAACAAAGAAGGCACAGAAAACCAATTATGAGTGGTGAAAAACAGGATGTGACTACAGATGTTACAGATGTGAAACAGATTAAAGAATACTTGTAAAACAAGGTTTATGTCAGTGTATTCTCTGCTTGTTCTATCAGTTAATGAGACAAGCCTAAAAACCCTCCAACTGTGATTATGAATGTCTTTTTCCTCCTGGTATTTTGTTTGCATTATATACTTTGTAGTCACAGCATTAAATATGTGGAATTTACAATCGTATTTTCCCATCGAAGTGTTACCTTTTATCAGTGCAAAAAACAATCCGATTTTTGCCTTTAAAACCTATATTAGTATTTGCACGATATATCTTTTTTCCATCCTTTTACTTTCAACCATTTTAAACTTTTTTTTTTTTTTTTTTTGGTAAACTACGTAGTTGGATTTTTTTTTTTTTTTTTTTTTTTTTTTTTTTTTTTTTTTGAGACGGAGTCTCACTCTGTCACCCAGGCTGGAGTGTAGTGGTGCAAATTCAGCTCACTGCAACCTCCACCTCCCAGGTTGAAACGATTCTCCTGCCTCAGCTTCCCAAGCAGCTGGGATTACAGGCACATGCCATTAGAACCAGCTAATTTTTGTATTTTTAGTGAAGACGGGGTTTCACCATGTTGGCCAGGCTGGTCTTGAACTCTTGACCTCAAGTGATCCACCTGCCTCGGCCTCCTGAAGTTCTGGGACTATAGGTGTGAGCCATCATGCCAGGCCACATAGTTGGATTTTAAAAATTCAGTAGGCCACTCAAACTAATTGGGGCTTAATTCATCTTACATTTAATGTAGTTAATGATATATTTGGATTTATATCCATCACGTTGTTTTCTACTTAATCTGTGAACTATGTGTTTCTGGGTTTTTCTCCTTTTGGATTTCATATTTTCCCTTATTTCATCCTCTATGTTATTTCACAAGTTATTACCTCTATTTCTTCTATCTGCTATTATGACACACATACTGATTAACTTTAGACTCTGAAAAGTTATGTGTCTTTACTGTCCTCACAAGTACCTTACAGAAACTCCATTCATCCTTCTGACTTACGTGCTATCATTGACATATATATTAATATGCTTTAAAGCCTATGAAAATGATTACTGTTTTATAAAAATGTTTGTTTAGATTTACTAAGATATTTATTACTCTTATGCTTTTTGATCTTTCTTGTATCTCTGGCCTCCTGTCTGAGAGTCACTTTCTTCATGCCTAGAGTACACACTTCTAAATTTCAAGTGAAGACTTCCTAATTGCAAATGCTCAGTTTTTGTCTGCAAGAAACGTATGAATTTCCCTGGATTTATTCTCTTAGTATAAAATTCTAGATTTTTATTTTAATTTAAGAAAATGTTCCCCTGTCTTCTGGGTGTGACCTTATTCACGGTAAATCTGTCTTCCTCCCCAGATATATCAAAGATCTTTTCTTTGTCTTTGATGTTCTGCTGTTTTATTGTAACAAGGCTAAGTGAGGATTTATTTATTTAACCACCTTAGGTTCCTGTGCTTCTTCAATGTATAGTTTAGTGTTGTTCACAAGATGCAGAAAATTCTTAGCCATTATTCTTTTAACTGTTGTTTACCATTCTCTCTTACAGAAAACCATTCAGATAAATATTTATTTTTAAATATGTATAACTTCTCTTTCGTACTTTTCAACTGTTTCTCTTGAATGCTTGTTGAGTAATTATTCAGTTCATTATTTCCTTTTTTGAGTTTATATAATCTGCAGTTAAATTCATCTATTGAGGATTTTTTTTTTTTTTTTTGAGACGGAATCTGGCTCTGTCACCCAGGCTGGAGTGCAGTGGCGCAATCTCGGCTCACTGCAAGCTCCGCCTCCTGGGTTCACGCCATTCTCCTGCCTCAGCCTCCCGAGCTGCTGGGACTACAGGCACCCGCCACTACACCCGGCTAATTTTTTGTATTTTTAGTAGAGATGGGGTTTCGCCGTGTTAGCCAGGATGGTCTTGATCTCCTGACCTCGTGATCCGCCCACCTCGGCCTCCCAAAGTGCTGGGATTACAGGCGTGAGCCACCACGCCCAGCCCTATTGAGGACTTTTAATAAAGTTTCAACTACTATAATTTTCAATTGTATAAATTCTAGCTATTTTTAAAAAATCTCTTTGAATAGTCTTTATAGTTTCTGAATCTTGGAACATATTTTCAACTTTTGTTGAAACATATGAAACACTTACTTCATATTCTGTAGCTGCCTATTCCTATTTTCCAGCAGGTCTGCTGTTGAGTCCTGCTCACAGTGCTTAGTTTCTTTATGTTTTTCTTTTTGACTATCACAGTTGTTCTACTTACTTAGAATTTTATTTCTAGGAAAACTTTCAACTCTGGGATGGAGATGAGTTTCTCCAAAGAGAATTTCTGTTAGCTTCTACAAGAGTCTGGGGATACTCACTGCCAGTCTATGTATACTGCCATTATGGGGATAAATTATCTTAGGGAATTCTTTTTCTGTTTTTTTTTTAGATCACCTACACAGCGTTAAATTCGCACTGCAAATTATACAAGGGTCAGCTGGTTGCTTAAAATTCTCAGCAGTGATCTTGCCCCCATATTCACTCCGACAAGGTTTTAGCTATACAAATAATTTTTGCAGTGTGGTTCCCGACCAGCAAAATCACTATCATCTGGAAACTTATTAGAGGTACAAATTTTAAAAGTCTCACCCCAGACCTACTGAATCTTACACTCTGGGGATGTTGCCCAGCAATCTTTGTTTTAACAAGTCCTCCATGTGATTCTGATGCACATTAAAAACTAAGAAGCATGCAGAAAATCAACTTTCCCTGCAATCTTGAAGGATGGTGGGATTGGTGGTGGTTTCCAGTTTAGCTGAGTCTCAGCTTTAAGGTGAAGAGGAAGAACGTATCAGATTCATCATCCCAGAAAGAAAGACCTTATTATTTCCTCAGGTTCCTCAATGCTCTCTGATGCTGAGGAAAGGAAACCAGATTTGGCAAATGCCCCCTGGGCAAAAACCAGTTTAAATGTCACAGACAATTTCCCAGACATCCTGTACCTTCCCTTCCCTTGTTTTCTTTTTTTCTCTTAAGAACTTTCACTTGATGCTTTAGCTAGGATAATTTAAAAAAATTTTTTTTTAATTTTGAAATAATTTTAGATTCAAAGGAAGTTCCAAAGATAGCAAAAGAGGTCCCCTGTACCCTGCACCCAGTTTCTCCCATGGTTACATCTTACTATAATATAAAATCAAAACTAGGAAACTGACATTAGTACAGTGTGTGTGTATAGCTATGTATCGCTTTATCACAGGTGCAGATTTGTGTCACTACCACCAATCACAATCAAGATACAAAACTGTTCCATCGCCACAAAGACTACCTGCTTTATAGTCACATTCACTTCCCTCTCTGTTCCCATAACCCCATCCCTAATCCCTGGCAACAACTAATCTGTTATTTGTCCTCCATGTCTATAATTTTGTCATTTCAAGAATGTTCTATAAATGCAGTCATACATATGTGACTTTTCGAGCTGACTTTTCTTCACTCAGCATAATGTCTTTAAGAGTTCTGATTAGTTGCATATACATCACATTCCCTTCTTATTGCTGAGTAGGATTCCATGATACAAATGAATCACAAATGTCCCAGAGATTTTTTTTTCCATGTTTTAAGTTTTATGGTTGTAGGGTTTACATTTAGAATCTATGATCCACTTGCAGTTAATTTTTGCACAAGGTTTAGGTCAAGGTTTATTTTGTTGCCTATGGCTATCCAACTGTGCCAGTACCATTTGAACAGGCCACTTTCCTCCACTGAGTCTCTTTTGTACGTCTGTCAAAATCAATTGGCTTTACTTGTGTGGAGCTATTTCTGGGTTTCTAGTCTGTTCCACTGACCTATGTGTCTATCTGTCTGCCAATACTACACTGTCTTGATTATGCTATCTTTATAAGTCGAAATTGAGTATAGAGTGTTTCCTCCCACCTTATCTTTTTCAAAACTGTATGAAAAACTAGCTACTCTGGTTCTTCTGTCTTTTCATATAAATCGTAGAAAAATTTTGTCTATATTTACAAAAAGAACCTGCTGAAATTTTGTTAAACTTGTATTACATCTATTTTAGGAAAATAGTCATTTATAACATGCTGAGTCTTCCAATCTATGAGCACAGTATGTCTTTCCATTCATTTGGGTCTTTGATTTCTTTCATCAACATTTAATAGTTTTCATCCAACAAGTCCTATGCATGTCTTGTTAGACTGATATCTAGGTATTTCACTTTTTTTTTAGCAATTCCAAATAGTATTTCACTTTTAATTATGGTTTTCACACGTTCATTGCTAGTGTAGAGAAATTCAATTGCTTTTTAAATGTATCTTGTGATCCTGCTACATTATTAGTTCCACAGATTTTTTGTAGATTACTTAGGATTTTCTAAACAGATGATCACGTCACAGGCGAAAAGGAAGGTGTTTCATTTCTCCTTTTCCAATTGTCAGGGCTTTCCCCCCGCTTGTTTTACTGTGCTGGGTGGAACTCCCAATATTTTGTTGAATAAGAGTTGTGAGTGTGTGCATCCTTGTCACCTTGTTTCCAATCATAAGGGGAAAGCATTCAGTCTTTCATCAGGTATGATGCTGTTTATTTTCTATAAATATTCTTTATCCAGTTGAGGAAGTTTGCTTCTATTCCTAGTTTTCTAAGAGTTTTAATCATAAATGGTATTGAATTTTGTCAAATGCTTCTATAGCATTTGATATATTTTCTTCATGATCCTGTTAATATGGTTACATTGATAGATTACATTGACAGATTTTCAAATGTTGAATCAATCTTGCATTCCCAAAATAAAGTCCACTTGGTCATTGTGTTTAATTCTATTTATATACCGTTGGATTATACTGATTAACATTTTGTTAAGGATTATCTACATCTATACTTAAAAAGGAGTTGGTCTTTATTGGTAGGTTTTTTTTTTTGGTATTGTCTTTGCTTTTGGTAGCAAAATAATACTGATTTCATAAATGAATTAGGAAGTATTCCCTTATTTTCTGGCAGAGACTACACAGAAATAGTGTAAATTCTTCTTTAAGCCTTTGCTAGAATTCTCCAATGAAATCATTCGGGCCTATTTTCATTTTAAAATTATAAAGTTCTATTAAGTTGTAGCACTATTCAAATTATCTATGCCATACTGAGTGACTTGCAGTATGTTGTACTTTCTGAAAACTTAGTTTATTTCATCAAAGTTGTCAAATTTATTTCTGTAGATTTTTAAAAATAGTATCCTTTTCATGTCCACAGGCTCCAGAGTGGTGGAGCATCCCAAATCTGATAATCTGAAATCCGAAATGCTCCAAAATCTGAAACTTTAAGAGTACCAACAAGACACTCAAAGCAAATGCTCACTGGAGCATTTTTAGATTTTGGGTTTTTGAATTCGGGATGCTCAACCAATGCAAATATTCTAAAATCTGAAAAAATCTGAAATCCGAAACATTTTTGGACCCAAGCATCTCAGATGAAGGATACTCAACCTGTATCTCTTATTTTACTCCTGATGATTTGTGTCTTCTTTTTTTTGTGTCAGTTTTGCTACAGTTTTACCCATTAAGATTTTATTTTGGTTACTGTATTTTTCAGTTATAAAGTTTCCAATTGGTTTTTCTTTACCTATTTATTTGCTATGCTGAAAACTTCCTTTTTTTTTAATTTATTTCAAGCATGTTCATAACTGCTTGTTGAAGCACTGTCTTGATGACTCCTTTAAAATTTGTGTCAGGGCGAGGTGCCATGACTCATGGGTACAATCCCAACACTTTGGGAGGCTAAGGCAGGAGGATCGCTTAGCCCAGCAGTTTGAGACCAGCCTGGGCACCATAGCGAGACCTCAGGAGGCTGAGGCGGGACAATCATTCAAGCCCAGGAGTTTGAGATTGCTGTGAGCTATGATCACATGCCACTGCACTCCAGCCTGGGTGACAGAGTGAGACTCTGTCTCAAAAAAAAAAAAAAAAAATTCAAAGTTATTTTTTCTAATTCTGTGAAGAAAGTCAATGGTGGCTTGATGGGGATAGCATTGAATCTATAAATTACTTAGAGCAGTATGGTCATTTTCATGATATTGATTCTTCTATCCATAAGCATGGAATGTTTTTCCATTTGTCTGTGTCCCCTCTTACTTCCTTGAGCAGTGGCTGGCAGTTCTCCTTGAAGAGGTCCTTCACATCCCTTGTAAGATGTATTCCTAGGTATTTTATTCTCTTTGTACCAATTGTGAATGGGAGTTCACTCATGATTTGGTTCTCTGTTTGTCTATTACTGGTGTATGGGAATGCTTGTGATTTTTGCACATTGATTTTGTATGCTAAGACTTTGCTGATGTTGCTTATCAGCTTAAGGAGATTTTGGGCTGAGACGATGGGGTTTTCTAAATATACAACCATGTCATCTGCAAACAGAGACAATTTGACTTCCTATCTTCCTATTTGAATAACCCTTATTTATTTCTCTTGCCTGATTGCCCTGGCCAGAACTTCCAATACTATATTGAATAGGAGTAGTGAGAGAGGACATCCTTGCCTTGTGCTGGTTTTCAAAGGGAATGCTTCTAGCTTTTGCCCATTCAGTATGATATTGGCTGTGGGTTTGTCATAAACAGCTTTTACTATTTTGAGATAAGTTCCATCAATACTTAGTTTGTTGAGTTTTTAGCATGAGGGGCTATTGAATTTTGTCAAAGGCCTTTTCTGCATCTATTGAGATAATCATGTGGTTTTTGTCATTGGTTCTATTTATGTGATGGATTATGTTTATTGATTTGCATCTGTTGAAACAGCCTTGCATCCCAGGGATGAAGCAGACTTGATCATGGTGGATAAGCTTTTTGATGTGCTGCTGGATTTGGTTTGCCAGGATTTTACTGAGGATTTTCGCATCAATGTTCATCAGGGATATTGGCCTGAAATTTTCTTTTTTTGTTGTGTCTCTGCCAGGTTTTGGTATCAGGATAATGCTGGCCTCATAAAATGAGTTACGGAGAAGTCTCTCTTTTTCTATTGTTTGGAGTAGTTTCAGAAGGAATGGTACCAGCTCCTCTTTGTACCTCTGGTAGAATTCGGCTGTGAATCCGTCTGGTCCTGGGCTTTTTTTTGGTTAGCAGGCTATTAAGTACTGCCTCAATTTCAGAACTTGTTATTGGTCTATTCAGGGATTCAACTTTTTCCTGGTTTAGTCTTGGGAGGCTATATGTGTCCAGGAATTTCCCCATTTCTTCTAGATTTTCTAGTTTATTTGCATAGAGGTGTTTATAGTATTCTCTGACGGTAGTTTGTATTTCTGTGGGATCAGTGGTGATATCACCTTTATCATTTTTTATTTTGTCTATTTGATTCTTTTATCTTTTCTTCTTTATTAGTCTGACTAGCAGTCTATTTTGTTAATCTTTTCAAACAACCAGCTCCTGGATTCACTGATTTTTTGAGGGGTTTTCCGTGTCTGTATCTCCTTCAGTTCTGCTCTGATCTTAGTTATTTCTTGTCTTCTGCTAGCTTTTGAACTTGTTTCGTCTTGCTTCTCTAGTTCTTTTAATTGTGATGTTAGGGTGTCGATTTTAGATCTTTCCTGCTTTCTCCTGTGGGCATTTAGTGCTATAAATTTCCTTCTAAACACTGCTTTAGCTGTGTCCCAGAGATTCTGATACATTGTGTCTTTGTTCTCATTGGTTTCAAAGAACTTATTTACTTCTGCCTTAATTTCATTATTTACCCAGTAGTCATTCAGGAGCAAGTTGTTCGGTTTCCATGTAGTTGTGTGGTTTTGAGCGAGTTTCTTAATCCTGAGTTCTAATTTGTTTGCACTGTGGTCTGAGAGACTGTTATGATTTCTGCTCTTTTGCATTTGCTGAGGAGTGTTTTACTTCCAATTATGTGGTCAATTTTAGAATAAGTGTGATGTGGTGCTGAGAAGAGTGTATATTCTGTTGATTTGGGGTGGAGAGTTCTATCGATGTCTATTAGGTCCGCTTGGTCCAGAGCTGAGTTCAACTCCTGGATATCCTTGTTAATTTTCTGTCTCGATCTGTCTGATATTGACAGTTGGGTATTAAGTCGCCCACTATTATTGTACGGGGGTCTAAGTCTCTTTGTAGGTCTCTAAGAACTTGCTTTATGAATCTGGGTGCTTCTGTATTGGGTGCATATATATTTAGGAGAGTTAGCTCTTCTTGTTGCATTGATCCCTTTACCATTATATAATGCCCTTCTTTGTCTTTTTATCTTTGTTGGTTTAAAGTCTGTTTTATCAGAGACTAGAATCGCAACCCCTGCTTTTTTTTTTTTTTGCTTTCCATTTGCTTGGTAAATATTCCTCCATCCCTTTATTTTGAGCCTATGAGTGTCTTTGCACATGCCCAAAAAAGAGCCCGTATAGCCAAGACAATCCTAAGCAGAAAGAACAAAGCTCGAGGCATCACACTACCTGACTTCAAACTATACTACAAAGCTACAGTAACCAAAACAGCATGGTACTGGTACCAAAACAGATATATAGACCAATGGAACAGAACAGAGGCCTCAGAAATAACACCACACATCTACAACGATCTGATCTTTGACAAACCTGACAAAAGCAAGCAATGGGGAAAGGATTCCCTACTTAACAAATGGTGTTGGGAAAACTGGCTAGTCATATGCAGAAAACTGAAACTGGACCCCTTCCTTACACCTTATACAAAAATTAACTCAGGATGGATTAAAGACTTAAATGTAAGACATAACACATAAAAATCCTAGAAGAAAACCTAGGCAATACCATTGAGGACATAGGCATGGGCAAAGATTTCATGACTAAAACACCAAAAGCAATGGCAACAAAAACCAAAATTGACAAATGGGATCTAATTAAACTAAAGAGCTTCTGCAAAGCAAAAGAAACTATCATCAGAGTGAATAGACAACCTACAGAACGGGAGAAAATTTTTGCAATCTATCCATCTGACAAAGGGCTAATATCCAGAATCTACAAAGAACTTAAACAAATTTACAAGAAAAAACAACCCCATCAAAAAGTGGGTGAAACATATGAACAGACACTTCTCAAAAGAAGACATTTATGCAGCCAACAAACACATGAAGAAAAGCTCATCATCACTGGTCATTAGAGAAATGCAAATCAAAACCACAAGATACCATTTCACGCCAGTTAGAATGGCGAACATTAAAGTCAGGAAACAACAGATGCTGGAGAGGATGTGGAGAAATAGGAACACTTTTACACTGTTAGTGGGAGTGTAAATTAGTTCAACTATTGTGGAAGACAGTTGGCGATTCCTCAAGGATGTAGAACCAGAAACACCATTTGACCCAGCAATCCCATTACTGGGTATATACCCAAAGGCTTATAAATCATTCTACTATAAAGCCACATGCACATGTATGTTTACTGCAGCACTGTTCACAACAGCAAAGACTGGGAACCAACCCAAATGCCCATCAATGACAGACTGGATAAATAAAAAGTGGCACATATATACCATAGAATACTATGCAGCCATCAAAAAGGATGAGTTCATGTCCTTTGCAGGGACATGGATGAATCTGGAAACCATCATTCTCAGCAAACTAACATAGGAATAGAAAACCAACCACCACATGTTCTCACTCTTATGTGGGAGGTGAACAATGAGAACACATGGACACAGGGAGGGGAACATCACACACCGGGGCCTGTTGCGGGGTGGGGAGCTAGGGCAGAGATAGCATTAGGAGAAATACCTAATGTAGATGACGGGATGATGGGTGCAGCAAACCACCATGCCACGTGTATACCTATGTAACAAACCTGCACATTCTGCACATGTATCCCAAAACTTAAAGTACAATAAAAAAATTCTTGTCAAATAATTCTAGTATCTGTGTTATTTCAGTGTCAGCATGTATTAACTGTCTTTTCTAATTTGAGCTGACACTTTCCTGCTTCTTGGTATGAGAGGTTTTTTTCATTGAAACCTGGATATTTGGGTTATTACATTAGGTGACTGGATCTACTTTTAATATTCCATTATAGTAAGCTTCCTTTGACATTGCTCTGGTGGAAAAAATGCCTAGTGGGGGGTGGAAGTGCAGGTTTCTCACTAGGCTTTTGTAGGGACCAGCCCCACAGGGTCGGTGGGTCCCTCCCTGTGTGCGGCAACGAGAGAGTGTAGAAATAAAGACACAAGACAAAGAGACAAGAGAAAAAGCAGCTGGGCCCGGGGGACCACTACCACCAATGCGCGGAGACCGGTAGTGGCCCCGAATGTCTGGCTGCACTGTTATTTGTTGGATACAAGGCAGAAGGGGCAGGGTAAAGAATGTGAGTCACCTCCAATGATAGGTAAGGTCACGTGGGTCACATGTCCACTGGACAGGGGGCCCTTCCCTGCCTGGCAGCTGAGGCAGAGAGGGAGAGGAGACAGAGAGGGAGAGGAGACAGAGAAAGACAGCTTACGCCATTATTTCTGCATATCAGGGACTATCAGTATTTTCACTAATTTACTACTGCTATCTGGAAGGCAGAGCCAGGTGTACAGGATGGAACATGAAGGCAGACTAGGAGTGGGACCACTGAAGCACAGCATCACAGGGAGACGGTTAGGCCTCCGGATAACTGTGGGAGAGCCTGACTGATGTCAGGCCCTCCACAAGAGGTGGAGGAGCAAAGTCTTCTCTAAACTCCCCCGGGGAAAGGGAGACCCTCCCCCCTGCTTCCCAGTCTGCTAAGGAGCGGGTGTTGTTCCTTGACACCTTTTGCTACTGCTGGACCACGATCCGCCTGGTAACGGGCGTCTTCCCAGACGCTGGCGTCACTGCCAGACCAAGGAGCCCTCTGGTGGCCCTGTCCGGGCATAACAGAAGGCTTGCACTCTTGTCTTCTGGTCACACCTCACTATGTCCCCTCAGCTCCTATCTCTGTATGGCCTGGTTTTTCCTAGACTATGATTATAGAGTGAGGATTATCATAATATTGGAATAAAAAGTAATTGCTACAAACTAATGATTAATGATATTCATATATAATCATATCTAAGATCTATATCTGGTATAACTATTCTTGTTTTATATTTTATTATACTGGAACAGCTCGTGTCCCCTGTCTCTTGCCTCGGTGCCTGGGTGGCTTGCCGCCCACAGGCTTTTGTATACCAAAGAACTTGGGGGTGAAGGGAAGACGGGACTCATATTAAGCATACGTGGGAGTTCAGGCTCCCTGCCTATGGTTACTGCTTCCCATATTGGCTCTGCTGCCACTATGGAGTGAGGAGTTGTCTTGTTACAGCCTAAACACTGTGAAAGTCTAGGTCCTCACTTGGTCTTTGCTAATCAGGGTGACTCTTCTATGTTCTTTGGCTGAAGTGGTTATTTTCTGTCTTGCTAGGCTACCCTTTTCCTGGTCCCCAGCTAAAGAGCATCATTTTTTTCCTGGGGCTTTTGTCTGTGCCCAACATTTCTGGATTGCCAGCTTTTCTGCACCATTCTGAAATACATAAGGTAATAAGAAAACTCAGGACTTTTACTGTGATATTATCTGGGTCCTGAGCAGATCCACCCAGTTCTCTCCATTTTTCTGTTTTCTTATGTTTGTTTTTAAATGTAATGTCCAGGGATTTTAGCTCTACTTAGCAAGAATAATAGGTAAAACTATGGAAAAGTATATCTATCCCATTTTGGAAGCAGAAATGTGTACCATATCACTTAGAAGTTTACGTATCATTTTCTTCATGGTTAGGCTTGATAGGCAAAGGTGTGTGTGTGTGAACAGAATTAGATCTTGGACTCAAAAGAAATGTGCCTAATTCATTTCATTCATTTGCCTCTTTATGACTCTACAAGAACCCTGAAATTTATTTCGCAAAATACTTAGGATTCACTTTCTACCAGAAAATGTCAAAGAACCCGAGAACTGTATGCCAAGTGACTCATTAACCAAATTGAGAAGGTACCCAATAGTTGAGAGAGAGGGTTAACAATAAAGAAATAAAGTGGGTAATTCACAGAAGTATTGGGTCAAGCAATGAAACCGGAAGTTCCTGCCAAGTTTATCTAGATCTCTTAGTATCTCCTATGGTCTTGCTTATTCTCCGAATACTTTACTCTCAGAGACAATGGTTAAAATCTCCCACTATGATCTATTAAAAAATGATCCTTTCTGTTTAATGTTTTCTGCCTTGAATTCTGCCGCATCTTATATTATTACAATTCTTGGTTTCTTTTGAAATTGCACAATCTTTTTCAAGCATTCACGGATTTTTTTAAAAAACTTTTAACCCTTCTGTATCACTTTGTTTTAGATGATTTTCTTTTAGAAAGCATCTACTTAGATTTTGTTTACTGACTCTACCTGGATTTCGGTGGACAAAGAGGAAGACAGAATGCGAGATATGCACAATCACATCACAATCTTATCTAGAATTCCTGAATTCTTATACAGCATTTTACCTTTCCTTGTCTCTTTGTAATTCTAATTATATGGTTTGGGCATATTGACAAACACACTGTCTCCCCAAGAACTATATGCATTTGGAAGGTAGAAAATTTTTAATTAATTTTTTTAAATTTCTAAAAGTATTCAGCCTGTAGCCTTGCTTATAGAAGATATTTTAAAAATACATTTTGAATTTAAATTACTCAAGAAGATTAATCTTGCAGCATTAGGAAGCTAGGCAGTATATCAACAATGAGATCCTGGTAAGAAAACAGTCTGCCAGTTCAGAAATGTATGCTGAGAATGCCACCACCAAAATATTCTATCAGCTTCTATACAGTGGACTGATGTGAAACTCCCCAAAAGGACTGAAAAGAAGAAATGCTTTGGTTATGTACCTGATGAAAAATCGATGACTAGTGGGAAACAGCAGATGGCCAATCTGGCAACCATCTTAAACAGCAGTAGCTCTTTAGGAATAAAGGCAACAGGGAGTTATAAATAGCACTAAAAACAAAAGTAGCTGACAAAATCTGTGCAGGTTTAAAAATGCATATAGAAAAAGCAAATCTGTTACCCTAGACTTTCTAAGTCACATCTGGACTGTATTATAACAATTTTCAGAAGTGACCAACTATCGTTGCTTCTTGTGGTTACAGAGGGGACCCATAATTAAGAGTGAAAATATGTGATCTTTGTTTACTCTGATATTGTTCTATTTTACCAACTATTTCATTTGCATTCCTTAAGTAAATCCTGGCTAAATGGGACAGAGTGGAGGTACACCAAAAATGTTCACGGGGTAAGCAGTAGAGGATTCAAACTACTGCAAACCAACATATCAAACTCCTTAGATTCCTGTCTTGCAAAATACCAACCCCAGATGAACCCAGCAAGCTGCTTTCTCCATAGCTATATCCAAGTGCAAATGGACAAAGTAACACAAGAGGACAGACGATTCAGCTATCATTTCATGCATGGTATCAACAGTATACAATGAGTATACAATAATGCCCTCTTTGTTAAAATTACTTTCCATTCTCTCCAACACAAAATTTTCTCCATTCTTTTCAAAATTTCAATCTCCAATAATTCCATCTCACAGAGAAAAAGCAATCAAGAAATCTTGCAACGTCTAGCTACAAAACACCTTATTAACTCCTAACACCTCTCAATCTGGCTTCCACTCTCTGAGGCTACTGATTGGACTTTTTAAATTCACATTTAATCTTTCAGAAACACCTGACATTGCTGATCAATTGAATCCTTGAAGCATTTTCTTCCCTTGAGTGGCAGGTTCAAAAATGCTACCTTGAAGATACTGGGTCCTAACCTTTGGAAGCTGCGAATGTTATCTTTTATGGGAAATTTTGGCAGATGTCATTAAAGATTCTGAGATGAGATTGTCCTGGATTATCTTGTGGGCCCTAAATGTCATTACAGCTGTCTGAGAAGCAGAGGGAGATTAGACACACAGAAAAGGAGGAGGCAATCTGACCGTGTAGGCAGTAACTGGAGTGATGTGGAGATAAGCCAAGGAATGCCAGCAGCCAACAGAAGCTGGAAGAGGAAAGGAACAGATTCTCCCCTGGAGACTCTGGAGAGAGCATGGCCCTGGTGACAGACACCTTGAATCCAGCCTACTAATACTGAGTTCAGACTTCTGGCCTCTAGAACTGTGAGAATAAACTTCTGTTGTTTCAAGCCAGTAGAACTGGTAATTTGTTAAAGCAGCCATAGGAAAGCAACACACGGTAACTTCTTTAATAATTCACTGTCCTAGGTTTGCTGAAATCAGTTCTTTGCAGGCTTCTTTAATGATTCACTATTCTACCTGGATATTCAATAGGGGGAATTCCTCAAAATACAGGACTGCTCTTCTCTTTCTATATTCCTTTGCTCTGGCTAATCTCATTCACACCCACAGCAATTACTACCTCAATATAATAAAACCCAAGTGTGAGTTCCAATTCTGATCTCTCCTCTGATTTCAAACTCAAATGCCTACATGACATTTCCATCTGGACATTCAAAAGGCACCTCAAATTCAACATATCCAAAAACCAATCTGGTCCTCTTCCGGTGTTGTCTCAGCAAACGGTAGAAACATGTATTCCATTACCCACAACTACTCTGAGGAGTTACTCCTCCTATCAACAACAGGTTGATTATACTGTTTCCCTCTAAATCTCTCTTGAATCCATTCACACGACTACATTTCAAGCTACCATCATGTCTTCCTGGATAACTGCAATAGTTCCCTAATAGGTTTGCCATATTCTATCCATTCTTCACAATAACAAAATTATGTTTTCTTATTTAAAATCTGCTCACTGATTCCTCATTCAATGACTTCTACTGTTCTCCCAATAAGAACAAATCTGAATTTTATTGTAAAATTTTTTTTTATAAAAAATAAAATTATGGCCAGGTGTGGTGGCTCATGGCTGTAATTCCAACATTTTTGGAGGCTGAGGTGGGAGGACTGCTTGAGACCAGGAAGTTCAAGACCAGCCTGGGCAACATGGTGAGACCTTGTCTCTACAAAATATTTTAAAAATGGATGGGCGAGGTGGTGTGTGCCTGTAGTCCCAGATACTTGGGAGGCTGAGGTGGGAGAATCGCTTGAGCCTGGGAAGTTGAGGCTGTGATCAGCCGTGACAGCGCCACTGCACTGCAGCCTAAGCAACAGAGACCCCGTCTCAATAAATAAATGAATGAATGAATAAATTCTGAATAACTTGTACTCAGTCTTGTGTGATATAGGCCCTGCATACTTCTCCTGCCACATCTTCCACCACTCCCTCCAAAACATTGCTCTCTGCAGTCCAACTGCATTAGCCTTCCCTCAGTTCCTTGGCATATGCCAGGCTCTCTCCTGATCGCTTCTGCATGTGCTTTCCCTCAGCCTAGATTGCTGTGCAAATGTTCTACTCAACTTACTTCCTTCTCCTTACTATTGAGCTCCTGCTCATCCTTCAAGTATCAAATTTCAGCTCAGCTACCAGCTTCTCAGGGAAGCTTTCCCTGTCTGTCCATCCTAAATCAGGTATCTTTATATACTTTCATGGCACCATGTTCTTCTCTTTCATTGTACTCATCAGAGTTCTAATTGTTTATTTTTACAATTAATCCTCTTCTTCACTAGACTATAAACTCCAAGAAGATAGGTAATGCTTGTTGTATTTACTCATCTTGAAGTCTAAGCATACTGCCTGGCGCATAATAAGCACCAAACAGTATTTACCAATTGAAAAATGAAATCTACTATAGCTTGAGTATCTTTTATCCAAAATGCTTGTAACCAAAAAGTGTTTCATTTCTAATTTTTTCAGATTTTGGAATATCTGCATTATATATGTGCCAGTTGAGCATCCCAAATCCCAAATGCTTGAATAAGCATTTCCTTTGAGCGTCATGCTGGCATTCAAAAAGTTTCATATTTTGGAGCATTTCAGATTTCAGATGTTTGGATTTGGGATGTTCAACCTGTACTTCAAGTATGAGTGTCCTGGAAGCACCTAACGTTTCTTCTTTTACTTTTTACATTTCATTAGCAAGGCTGTTAATATGGTTTAACCCAGACCCACAGCTGTTTAGATTTTCCTAAGGAAAAAACATTTCACTGTCCAGTATTATCCATTATATATTAAATAGGGTTCAGTTTATTTTAGAACAGCAGTTCTTGAGGCAACTCTAAAAATAAAAATTAATATAACTTCTGCTTCTAACATGGTAGAGTAATTGGGATCAGATTTACCCTCTTACAGTAACAACTAGAAATTGGACAGAATATAAGAAACTGTTGTCAGACACTAGCAACAGACAGAAGGAAAACAAATTAGGTAAGTCCTATAACTGTCCTGCCATTCTGGCAGGAGGCTCTTTCCAGAACACTGTGCAGAAAGGGTCACACCAAACACAGTATGGAAACTTTGCCAAGTTGAGGAGACAGATCAAGGAGGTGAAGGTGACTAGAATTTGTAGGGCAGTATAGAGAGAAGAGAGAGATTCAGAGAATAGAGAGCACCAGAAATTGGCATAGGGATCCTCTTATGTTTTTGTTTGAATACTAATTTGCACATGCATAAAGCAAAACCTCACAAGTCTTAGGCAAAGGGCAAATGCCAGGAAACTATAAGATGAACAATTCCTAGAACTTATTCAGAAACACTAAGAATTACAACAGACTTCTCATCTGAAACTACACAAGTCAGAGATAAGAAAACTAAAACTTTGTTTTATAGTGAAAATTATATTTAATAGAGAATTATGAGTATATTTATTTTAAGTATAGATTCAGGGGGCACATACGCAGGTTTGTTACATGGGTACATTGCATAATTCTGGGGTCTGAGCTTCTGTTGAACTCATCACACAAATAGTGAACATAGTACCCAGGAGGGAGGTTTTCAACCCTACCCCCTCAGCCTCCTTTTGGAGTCACTAGTGTCTACTGTTTCCATCTTTGCGTCCATGTGTACCCACTGTTTAGCTCCCACTTATAAGTAAGAACATACGGTATTTTTCTGTTTCTGCATTAATTCACTTGATAATGGCCTCCAGCTGCATCCACGTTGCTGTAAAGGACATTATTTCATTCCTGATTATGGCTCTGTAGTATCCATGGTGCATATGTACCACATTTTCTTTTATCTAATCCACTGTTGATGAACACTTGATTCTGTGCCTCTGCTATTGTGAATAGTGCTGCATGCAACAAACATGCAAGCACAGCTGTCTTTATGATAAAACCATTTCTCTTCCTTTGGGTAGATACCCAGTAATGAGACTGCTGGTTTGAATGGTAGTTCTATTTTTAGTTCTTTGAGAAATCTCCAGAATGTTTTCCATAGGGGTTGTACTAATTTACATTCCCACCAACAGCGTGTAAGCGTTCCCTTTTCTCTGCATCCTCACCAACATGTCTTATTTTATTACTTTTTAATAACAGCCATCTAACTGCTATGAGATGGTATCTTGCTGTGGTTTCAATTTCATTTCTCTGATGATTAGTGATGTTGCACATTATTTCACCTTTTTTCGCCACTCGTATGTCTTCTTTTGAGAAGGTCTGTTCATGTCCTTTGCCACTTTTTAATCGAGTTATTTTTTCTTATTGATTCAAATTCCTTATTTATTATGGATATCAGTCCTTTACTGGATATATAGTTTGCAAATACTTTCTTCCATTCTGTACGCTGTTTACCCTGTTTGTTTCTTTTGCTGTGCAGAAGCTCTGTAATGAAACCCCACTTGTCTAGTTTTGTTTTTGTTGCATTTGCTTTTGGGATCTTAGTCATAAATTCTTTAAATGTTCAAAAGATATTTTCCTAGGTTTTCTTCTAGAATTTTTATAGCTGGAGGTCTTAAATAAGTCTTTAATCCATCTTGAGTTAATTTTTGTATATAGTGAGAGGTAGGAGTCTATTTTCATTCTTCTACATATGGCTAGCCAGTTTTCCCAGCACCATTTATTGAATAGGGTATCCTTTCTCTATTGCTTATTTTTGTTGACTCAGTTGAAGATCAGTTCATAGCAGGTGTGTGGCTTTATTTCTGGGTTCTCTATTTTGTTCCATTGATGTATGTGTCTATCTTTGTACCAATTCCGTGCTATTTTGGTTACAATAGCCTTGCAGTATAGTCTGAAGTTGGGTAATATGATGCCTCTGGCTTTGTTCCTTTTGCTTAGATCGCTCTACCTATTTAGGCTCTATTGTATTTCCACATGAATATTAGAATTGTCTTTTCTAATTCTGTGAAAAAAAATCACATTGGTAATTTGATAGGAATTATATTGAAGTTGTAGATTGCTTTGGGCAGTATGGTCATTTAACAATGTTGATTCTTTCAATCTACAAGCATGGGACGTTTCTTCCATTTGTTTGTGTCATCTATGAATTCTTTCATCAGTGTTTTACAGTTCTTTGTAGAGATCTTTCCCTTCCTTGGTTAAATGTAATTCTAGATATTGTGTGTGTGTGGTGTGTGTGTTTGTGTGTGTCTATTGTAAATTAGTTCTTAATTTGGCTCTCAGCTTGAATGTTATTGGTGTATAGAAATGCCAGTGATTTTTGTACATTTATTTTGTATCCTCAAACTTTACTGGAGTTGTTTCTCAGGTCCAGGAGTCTTTCGGGGAATCTTTCAGGGTTTTTTTAGGTACAGGATCATGTCATCAACAAGCATATAATTTGACTTCCTCTTTGCCTATTTGGACATCTTTTATTTCTTTTGTCTGATTGCTTTGGCTAGAACTTCTAGTACTATGTTGAAAAGGAATGGTGAGAGTGGACATCCTTGTCTTGTTCTGGTTCTTAGGGGAAATGCTTTCAACTTTTGCTCATTCAGGATGATGTTGGCTGTGGGTATGTCATAAATGACTCTTACTATTTTGAGGTATGTTCCTCTGATGCCTAGGTTGTTGAGGTTTTATCATGGAGAGATGCTGGATTTTACTGCATAAGAATATGGTTTTTGTTTTTTAATTCTGTTTATGTGGTGAATTACATTTATTGATTTGTATATTCTGAACCATCCTTGTATCTAGGAAAAAACCTACCTGATCATGGTGAATTATCTTTTTTATGTGCTGCTAGATTCAGTCTGCTAGTATTTTGTTGAGGATTTTTGCCTCTATCTTCATCAGGGATGCTGGCCTGCATTTCTGTTTTTCTTTTTGTTGTTGTGTCCTTGCTAGATTTTGATATTGGGATGATACTGGTTTCAAAGAATGAGTTAGGGAGGATATCTCTCCACCTTGATTTTTTTGGAATAGTTTCAGTAAGATTGGTATCAGCTCTTCTACCAACATCTAGTAAAATCTGGCTATGAATCCTTTTGGTTCAGGGCTTTTTGTGGTTGGTAGATTTTATTATGTATTCAACGTTATAACTCGTTATTGGTCTGTTCAGGATTTTGATTTCTTCCTGGTTCACTCTTGGAAGGCTGTGTGCTTCCAGATGTTTATCTATTTCCTCTAAATTTTCTAGTTTGTGCACATAAAAATGTCCACAGTAGTCTCTAAGGATCTTTGTATTTCTATGGTATCCACTGTAATGACATCTTTGCCATTTTTGTGCTTATTTGAATCTTCTCTCTTTTCTTGGTTCATCTAGCTGGCAGTCTATCAATTTTGTTTACCCTTTAGAAGGACAAACAGAACTTTCCGTTTTGTTGATTCTGTGTGTAATTTTTTGGTCTCAATTCTGTTTAGTTCTGCACAAATCTTTGTTATTTCTTTTGTTCTGCTAGCTTTCAGGTTGGTTTGTTCTTATTTTGCTAGTTCCTTTAGGGGCAATGTTAGGTTGTTAATTTGAGATCTTTCTTTTGATGTAGGAATTTAGCACTAAAATTTTCCTCTTAACTCTATTTTGCTATATCCTAGAGGTTTTCATATATTGTTTCTATTTTCATTTGTTCCAAAAAAAATTGTATTTCTGCCTTAATTTTGTTTAGCCAAACGTCATTCAGGAGCAAACTGTTTCATTTCCATGTACTTACGTGGCTTTCAGAGTTATTCTTGGTATTGATTTCTAATTTTATTCAACTGTGGTCCAAACAGATGCTTGGTATGATTTCTGCTTTTTTGAATTTATTGAGACTTGCTTTATGACTGAGCATGTGGTCATTTTTAGAGCATGCAAAGATGAGTAAAATGTGTATTCTGTGGTTGTTGGGTAGGGTATTCTGTACGTGTGTATTACGTCCATTTGGTCAAAACTTCAATTTAAGTCGAGAATTTGTTAGTTTTCTGCGGTGATCTGTCCAGTGCTGTCAGTGGGCTGTTGCAGTCCTCCACTATTATTGTGTGGTTGTCTCGTTTTCCTAAGTCTAGTAGTATTTGTTTTATAAATGTGGGTGCTACAACACTGGGTATGGCATATATACCTAGGAGATACAAATCTTGTTGAATTAAATCCTTTGTCATTATATAATGCCCTTGTCTTTTGTTACTGTTGTTGGTTTAATATCTGTGTTATCTGATACAACAATAGCAACACCTTCTCTTTAAAAAACCTATAAAGTGCTGAGAAATAAAAGTTCCATTCCAGAAATGCCTACCTTTTGCCTTTTTCACTGGCATTCTCTTACATGTGTACAGCAGTTTTCCAGGGGCTAAGCAACCCACAGGGTTATCACAATAGGTTATATTATTTTTTCTTTTGAAAAAGTTATTTTTCATAAAATTTTATGTTAACTTTAACTGGGTTATTACTTTGTCAATGAACTGATGAATAAATATTTTTTAGAGTTCTTAGTTTTAATTTCTAATAGAGTAAATTTCAATAGCTATAGCCTATATAAAGCACCTTGAGATATTCAATAATTTTTAACAACACAGACATTCCAAAACTCTTAAAAAGTTTGAGAATTGCTGCTTTTAGAAGTAGGAGCCACATCAAATTATTCCCTCATGATATCACAGGGCCTGTGAGGAACTTTTTTACTGCAAATTTAATTTCCTTAATAAATACGTAGCTGTTTTCTTGTGTAAATCTGGGCAATGAATATTTTTTAAAAGAGTGTTCCATTTCATCTACATTGTTTCTTAGCTTTTGAGTGTTTATAATATTCCTTTATTCTTTTAATATCTGCCATATATGTTGTGATGTCCATCTTTCACTCCACATACTGATAATCTGTGGTTCTTTTTTTTAATACTCATCAGTCAGGGTAGAAATTTAACAATCTTACTATTTCCAAAAATTCTTAATTACATAAATCTTGACCGTCAAATACCTGATACAGATGGAGTTTTCTGCTAGCCCTGTCAGTCCTCAAACCACACTATGACAATGGTGGTATAAAGAAACACATTTGAAAGATCTGCAGGCCTCACTAAATCAGTATTTTCCAAATGACTAATACATGATGTTTCAAACTTATAAATGGGCAAAACACTCATTTAAAACGCAAGATAGACAAATGGATTTTAATATAATAGAATATGAAAAATTTATTAATATAGTTTCAGATTCTCCCTGCAGTTACCTTGTTAAATTCTGGTGTAGCACATATAAAAGAGGAATATCCACATTATCTGTTATGATGAAATGGGAAGTATACATAAGCACTGTTGCTATATACTGAAGTACAGGGGCCATTGCAGGAAAAGCACTTGTGAGACATGTTTTTAAATAATACAATTTTTACTTGAAAGAATGACACACAAACTATGTTATTTGGGCTAGGGTATGTGGAAGACATTTTCTTGAAAATGAACAAAGTGTGCCTATCACTTCAAGAAAAATAAATGACAGTATTTATTGCCAATGAAAAAATTAAAACTATCAAGTGAAAATTAAAATTTTGCAAAATTTGTATCTATCCCTGTGCAGGATCCAATGATTTTGCTGGTGAGATGAGTAGTAAGTAATAAATAATTTTTTGATATTATATAATATGGCAGCTGTCAAACTTTTTGGTTATCACTATTCCTTTATACTTTTTAAACAAAGAACTTTGTTAACAGAAGCTTTTATTTATGTTGATATATCAATATTTAATATATTAAACAGAAGTGAGCACTTAAACTTTTTAAAATTTATTTAAACATAATAAACTTCCACTGCATGATTAACTAGAATTTTGATGGAAAACGACAATTTAAAAAAAAGGAAAACCTGGTGAAAAGAGTGCCATTGTGTGAGAAAACATTTTAAATGATCCATTTTCAAGGCATGCTAAATCTAAGTACTGGCAGTCAACCTGCAGATGTGACAAACCACACAGCTCATGCACCTAGAAAGTCACTATAAGTGATCAGAATGTAGAGGAGGGGTCAGCCCATGAAAGGGAAAAGTTTTGCTATCGGAAAATCGAAACTTAAGTGAGGAAGGGGACTGGGGTATAACCTTATAAGGGGGATAATGAAACTTAGGCAACGTCTGGGAAGATTGTAACCCCATAGTACTCGACCAGTGAGGAAATGGGGGAGAGACTTGCGTGCTAGGAGATAAATTACCTGCTGTAACTGCCGTGGGTGTGTGTGCCTACCAGACACCTAGATCTTGCAAGACTGCCACTAAAAGTCTTACTTCCGCTGTTCTTCATGTCTCCGAGTCCATTATTTGGGTTTGGACGGGTGAATGTTTCCCTTACAAACTTGGGGGCCCGTCTGGGATCTTTATGCCTGCGTAGAGTCAGACTCCGGCCGAAAAGGGAGATGAATCTCACCCGATTTAGGTGGCCCGCTCTGTCTGAGTGTCCCAGCTCCTTGCAAAGGCCATAGACAAACCTGAGACTGTTATTCAGGAGGCAGTGGAGGTGACATACGGAGAAAAGCAGGCACTGCAGCAACCAGGAAACCTCATGCACAAGCCAAGGTAGGAAAATTGGACTCTAAGTACTGCCTTGGTGGTTGGGCATTTTTGGAGGTCGAGTGTGTGTGACTGAGACGTATCCCAGATATAAGGCAAGTGCAGAGTCCCAATCTGCAGTTCCGTTCTGCGAGGGAAACGGCCAGAGACAGACAAAGCGATTCTCGGGGTGTGCAAGAAACCTCCAGTTGGGGAGTTGAGTACACAGGGAAAAGCTCAGACACAGAGACTGACTGAAAATGAGAAACAGAAATTCTAGGCTTAGGGGACAAAGGAAAGAGGGAGCCAAAGAGACTCCATCTGACATTCCTCTGGATAGTCCCTTGGGTTTACTCTCCACTCTCCTTCACTAATGAGGTGTCCTAAACACAGGGCTTCTGTGGAGCCGTCCTGCAGCTCTGACATCTATGAGTCAGCAGCCAGGAAAGGTGCAGGCCCCAGCAAAGAGGAGCAGAGGCGCCCGGAACATGCTGTCCACCAATGCCAGCCCCAAGTGGGGCCAGCTCAGCGGGTGGTGGGTGGAGCCATCCAGCAGCTCTGAGATCCAGGAGGTGGAGATGGCAGAAGCGCCAGGCTCCACTGCTTTGGAGCCTGCACAACCAGATTTGGGAGCTGTGACTTGCAGCAAATTGGCGACCAGAAGATGCCCAAAGGTAGGGAGGCCACAGATACTGTTTGGCCTTAGGATTTCCTCTGGCCGTTGCTGACCCAACGTTCCCCCGCAGAGGCATCCACAGCCTGGGGCTCCCCTTTCCTGCCCCTAGTTAGCTTTCCTAGGCCCAGGCCCCAAACAGGAGGACTGGCTCTGCCCCGTGTCCCCACCCCTTCTTCTTTCCCTGTTGCATCCGGCCGGTCAAGTTATTAGAAGAGGAACCTGATCACTTGCAGTGGTCCTCAGAAGAAATTCAGGCAGTGAAAGAGCTAAACCAGGCCCTCATTACAGCCCTGGCCCTCCCATCTTTAGAGAACCCATTCCACCTGTTTCTAACAGTAGACTAGGGCATGGCCCTTGGAGTGCTCACTCAAATATGGGGTGGGAAAAGGCAACCTGCTGCTTTTGTCTCCAAGCTTCTCAATCCTGTCTCTCAAGGGTAGCCCAAATGTGTGCAAACAATAGCTGCCACAGACCTGCTGGTAGAGGAGACTAGAAAGCTAACCTTTGGTGGGGCCCTAATAGTAAGCACCCCACACCTAGTCAGGAATATATTAAATCAAAGAGCTGGAAGATGGTTAACTGATTCTCGGATTCTAAAATATGAGGCTGTATTACTAGAAAAAGATGACTTGGTCGTAACAACAAATACTTGCCTGAATCCAGACAGTTTTCTAGGGAAAGGAGAGGAGAACAAAGAGACATCAGATCATAACTGCTTAGGTATCATAGAATACCAAACCAAAGTTAGACCAGACCTTAGGGAAGCTCTACTACATGATGAGATAAGGCTGTTTGTGGATGGGCTGTCTCCAGTGACAGATGGCAAGGGACATAACAGTGATGGTGTCATTGATGGAAATAAACACTCCTTATGTGAGAAAGGAAGATTACCTAATTGCTGGTTAGCCCAAACCTGTGAATTATTATGCTCTTAACCAGGCCCTAAAGCTCCTTGAAGGCCAAAAAGGCACTATATACACTGAATTTAAGTATGCCTACTTAAAATCCAAAGTGGTACACACTTTTGGAAAAATCTGGACAGAGTGGGGCCTAATAAATAGCAGGAGAAAATAATTGGTACATTTGGAACTGGCCAAACAGGTTTTAGAAAGCCTCTTGCTTCCAGCAGAGGTAGCCATAGTTCATGTAAATGGTTTTCAGAAAGGGAACACCACAGAAGCTGTAGCAAACAGGTTTGCAGCTGAAGCTGCTAAGCAAGCCTCCCTGGAGGAAGAAATTAGACTATTTAGCCTGATCCCAGACATCCCTAAGGTAGTATTAAGGCCCCAGTTTATCAGAGAGAAGAAAGAAGAATTAGACAGGATAGGGGTCACTCAAACTGAAGATGAGATGGATACTTCCCGATGGAAGAAAAATAAGTAAACCCCTGATGAGAGAGCTAACGTCTATATTACACAAAAGGAGTCATTGGGGATCCCCGACTCTGCATGATGCAACAGGGTATGGGTGTACAGGGATTTATACCCCTGCTAAACAAGTATGTGGAAGTTGCGTAACTTGTCAAAGGATAAACAAAAAGGTGATCAGAAAACAGGCCACAGGAGGAAGACCTCCCAGACTAAGACCATTTCAAAGCATTCAAGTAGATTTCACAGAAATGCCCAAAGGAGGAAGACTGATATATTTACTGGTGATCGTAGGTCACCTTTCCAGCTGGGTGGAAGCCTTTCCCCTTCCAACAGCCACTGCCAGTAATGTGGTCAAAATAATATTAGAACAGACTGTACCTAGATTTGACCTGGTAGAAAATATTGATTCAAACAATGGGAGCCACTTTATCTCAAGGGTGTTAAGGGGAATTATGGAAGGTTTACAAATTAGATGAGATTATCATACCCCTTGGCATCCCCCTTCCTCTGGAAAGGTAGAAAGAATGAATCAAACTCTCAAAAAGCATAATCACCAAACTAATCTAGAAACTAAAATACCCTGGACCAAATGTCTCCCAATAGTACTCCTTAGGATTATGACAGCCCCAAGAAAATACTTGGGATTATCCCCCTATGAGTTATTATAGGGGCACCCATATTTGGGCAGAGCTACAGATCCTCCCTACTATGGAAACCATGGATCAATGCTTAAGAAATTATATACTGGCCATATCCTCCACCCTGTCATCCCTTAGGTTAAGAGGACTTCTGACTCAAATGCCACCTCTTGAGTTCACGGTTCACCACTTCCAGCCTGGCAACTTGGTGCTGATTAAGATTTGGAAAGAAGACAAGCTCCACCCAAGCTGGGAAGGTCCCCACTAAGATAGCTGTGCAAACAGCTGAACAGGGGTGGACTCACTATCCTTGAGTCAAGGGATTGGTAAAAGAGACCCTGGAAGGGAGGGGAAAAGACCAGTGGAAAGTGCACTGAGGAACCCTTAAAGTTAACTCTGAGAAAAATCTAAAAAGAAAACATGGGTTGGCCCCATTTCTCGAAGTTAATATGGCTGGGATGGGCTACTATACAAAAAGCAGAAGGTCAAAATGGAAACTGGCAGGGGACTCCTCCCTATCCAATGAGGTTGGTAATTAGTGTAACCAAGACAGTAGCATCCCAGACTGTAAGATTTGATGCCTGCCAGGTCTTACCTTGTGGGAATTTGGAAAATCAGGGATAGCTCTCGCAGGCAGATAAGTACCTTTGCCCTGAACCAGATACAGGTTACAGTAGAGCATCATCCTGCCCCACCCAGCTGGGATGATGTATGGTAGACTACCCATTTTCAGGGTTGGACAGTAAACGGGGTGGGTAACTCTAAGCTGGAGACCCTTGAAGAATAAACTACATCTGTCCAAGGGCTCCCTGCCAAATAACTGCCACAATTTAGAATGCAATCCTATACTCATCACCAATGACAATCCATCCATTCTAGACCGAGAAACAAATCTAAGTACTGGCAGTCAGCCTGCGGATGTGACAAATTGCATGGCTCATGCACCTATAAAGTCATGATAAGTGATCAGAATGTAGAGGAGGGGTCAGCCCATAAAAGGGAAGAAAGTTTTGCTATTGGGAAATTGAAAGTTACGGGGGGAAGGGGACTGGAGTATAACCTTTTAAGGGGGATAATGAAACTTAGGCAACGTCCGGGAAGACTGTAACCCCATAGTACTCGACCAGTGAGGAACTGGGGAAGAGACCTGCGTGCTAGGAGATAAATTACCTGCTGTACCTGCCCCGGGTGTGCCTGCCTACCAGACACCTGATCTTGCAAGACTGCCATTGAAAGTCTCACTTCCGCTGTTCTTCATGTCTCTGAGTCCATTCATTGGGTTTGGACGGGTGAATGTGTTTCTCACACATTGTTCTACATTTCTGCAAATCCCTTTATGGTCTGGCTTAATTTCAGACAGCTGGGTTCTCTCATTTGCTTCTATACAGTCTGTTGCCACATCACAGGGCAAGTCACATGGCCTCAGAAAAACTCTTGAGAACAGACATGAAAAAGGCAAATAACACTTCTAGTATTATATGAAAACATTCTTGACTTCAGAGAACCCCTGAAACATCTTCCTATTAAGTTAAAGTTTAAAACTCCTTCCTGTTAAATAAAGAGATGGCAGTCTTAGCATACTTATACAAAAAAAGCAATGCTGCAAATCTCTTATTTTATAAAAATTATTTCTCTATTAAGAATACATTTCTTTTAAACAAAATCTATTTCCTAGACTTAAATAAAAGCAGTTATCAGTACTCTAGTCCTCAATTAACGTAAGCTAATATGATTTTTGTATCCTTACAAATTATACATGTGTGTACCCATGTATATAAATCTCTCTCACATGTGCACAAAATACATAAAAAGAAGTACACCAAAATATTACTAGCTATAGGTACTTTTAATCTTTACCTTTTTCCTAAATATTTTATATTTGCCGTTAGTTTAAAAAAAATTTTTTTAAATGCTTCCTGTTGCTCTCTTCCTCTCATCAGCAGTAGTTAATATTATTTTCAAAAAGAGTATGCCCTGACCTTGGGGAACCAGAAAGTTTTACTTAATTACAATTATGAAGAAGCAGAGCAAGGATAAAAATAAACCAGTAAATAGGATGCAATGGACCCTATGTTAACACATCAAAGAACTGGAATTTAGAATTGTGATCTAAGAATCTAGGATTTCCAGTAACATATGTTCTTCCCATAAAATAATGATTCTTCCTCTGTAGTTCCAGCAGTAACTATGTACACCAATAAAACAGTTACACACATTTAGCTCTCTGTGCCTTATGAAGTGTTTTCACTTATTCTTTGATCTTATATCATCACTGACTACACTACTTTAAAATTCATACTCTAAATGAATTTAATTTTTTTTTTAAAAAAAAAGGAGGCCTCATCTTTTTACACATTATCACTATTCAAGATAACGTTGTCTCATGGCCAGAGTTGCAGCAAAGGGCCAACTAACTCAAAGCAATACACCGCTCTGAATTCTTCCAATTAGGGATCTCAAAACGTTATTGCTTAATTAACTGGTGCTCGCAATGCCATACTAAGGCTTATGGTAATAAGAGTGACACCCATTATACTATAATTAATAAGAGAAGAGGAAAGCAAGATGCAGAATCACAAACAACTTTTTCGACTTAACTAGCAGAGGAAAGAGGGGCAGCACAAAGCAGTGGCTAGGAGTCTGGCGTCTGGAGCCAACTGTCTGGATTCAGACTCTGGCCCTGCCACTCGTGTATGACCCTGCGCAAGTTACTTAACTTCATCTTGCCTGAGTTTCCCCATCTATGAGGGAGAGAGGAGAATAACCATATCTACCAGCAAGGTTAAAATAATTAAATGAGTTACTATTTGTAAGTGTTGGCACATAATATTTGTTAAAAGTAAAAGAAAAACCCTGAAGCTAAAGTTGGAAACGCTTTACTAAGTAATGAAACAACTGTAGAGATGCAGAAAAATCAAATTAGATAATTCAGAATACCGCATCCTCAATTTCTGAACTTCTTAAAAAGGTGTGGTTTTCAACTATCTCTTAGCAAAAGTACAAACTGGCAAAGTATAAATTACTTTCAGAGATGCCATAGAAGAGTTTGGCTGGATACAGTTAAAGTGTCTTTTTGCTTATATAAATTGAACAGGAAAATGTTCTGTTTTTAAGACAAGTTTTAAGACATTAAATACTAGCATCAACAGGACACCTCAGTTGCTCTTGTTGACTACCAAAAAAAGGCAAAAGTGCTGATCTCAATGTGTCAAATCTGTTTAAAGTTTAGATGAAAGAAGTGAGCAATCACATAAAATTAAGACTGAAGCCAACTTCCTAAAGAAAAGGAGTGTCCCAGGTTAAGGCAAGATAAGTACAGGTTGAAATACATTTTATCCTGCCAGAAAGCAAGGAAGCATTCAACGATCAACCAGGTCAGATCAAAATGGACACAGCAGCCACCTCAAGAGACTCTCACTGGCCAAATGTGAGACAACTGATCATCAAAAAGAGTAACACCTAAAGTGAGCAGAAGAAAAAAAAGAATTACAGTCAAAATCAGTGAAATTAAAAACAGGAAAATACAAAGAAAAAAAAAAAAGCTGGCTCATTGAAAATATAAATAAAACTGTTAAACCTCTAGCCAGACTAATCAAGAAGTTCGAGACCACCCTGGCCAACATGGTGAAATCCCCATTTCTACTAAAAAATACAAAAATTAGCTGGGCATGGCGGCATGTACCTGTAATCCCAGCTACTTGGAAGGCTGAGGCAGGAAAATCGCTTGAACCCAGGAGGCTGAGGTTGCAGTGAGCCAAGATCGCACCACTGCATTCCAGCCTGGGTGACAGTGAGACTCTTTGTCTCAAAAAAAACAAAAGAAGAAAAAGAGAGAAGGCACAAATTACTAATGTAACAAATGGAAGAGGGGTCATCATTACTTATCCCAAGTACATTAAAAGTACAACAAAGGAATACTATGAACAACTCTGTACACCAAAAATTTAGTAAGATGAAATAAGCCAATATTCTGTGAAAGACACAATCTACCAAAGTTCTCACAAAGAAAAACAGATAACCTGAACAAACCTGTTAACTATTAAAGAAACTATATCAATAATCTGAATAGATCTGTATCTATTAGAAAATTGAATCAACAGTTATTAACCTTTTAAAACAGAAAACACCAGGCCTGAACAGTTTTACTGGTGAATTATTCCAAACATTTAAGGAAAAAAGTGATACCAATTCTCTACAATCTCTTGCAGAAAATAAAAACAGAAGGAACATTTCCTGACTTATTCTAAAAGAGCAGCCTTACTCTAATAATAATAAAACAAAGAGATGGTAAGAAAAGAAAGCTACAGACCAGTATCTTTCATGAACACAGGTAACAAAAATCCTCAACAAAATATTAGTAAATTGAATCCAATAATGTAGAAAAGGAATTATTCACCATAACCAGGAGAGATTTATCCCAGGTATGCAAGGCTGGTTCTAAAATCTACTAATGTAACCCTAATCCACCACATCAACAGGCTAATGAAGATAAATCAAATGGTCATATCAATGGATGCAGACAAAGCGTCTGACAAAATCTAACACCACTCATGATGAAAACGGTCAGAAAACCAAGAATGGAGAAGAATTTCCTCAATTTGATTTTTTAAAAAAATCTACTCTACTCCCCTCAAAAAACCCTCTACAGTGAACATAGTACTTAATGGTGAAAAACTACTTTCCCCCCAAGAACAAGAATAAGGCAAAAATGTCTCCTCCCATTACTCCTATTCAACATCATACCTAAAGTCCTAAATACTGCAATAAGACAATAAAAGGGAAGAAAAGGCATGCAGACGGAGGGGGGAAAAGAAATAAAACTGTTTCTGTTTGCAGATGACATGATTGTCCACTTAGAAATTTCTGAAGAATTGAACAACAAAAAACAAACAAACAAACAAAAAACACTCCTAGTTGATACAGCTGTTTCCATTGGGTGTGAGTTAACAATTCTGATACTGCTATAAGACCTATGTTGGAATTGAACAACTAAGTAAATAAATGGTGTGTGCTGGGAGGCAGGTTTCCCGCTATTGGAGGAAATTTACTGGTCAGTAACGGGAGGACCAGGAATGATCCGTATGGTAATAGATTAGAGTTGAAGACATTAAGAATTCATGTTTAGCTTATATAGATACAGATGGTTACAAATATTTATGCACATATAAATACTGATATATAATATTAAATACTTATATCTCTCTCTAGACACATAGATATACAGATATTTCTAATATATGAATATATTTATTTGCTCTATCTGCTGAGAGTACCTAAAACACAACATCCCAGTAGCAACAAGGGCACCTAGATCTTTGTTTCTAATACCATTTTCTAATTAAAGGAAACAGTGCTCCTTAGAGAAACGGCTGATCCCAGGACTAGGGTAGAAAACATACAAGATGAGCTGGGAGTATCCTGCAGTGCCAGAAAGTAAGTGCTCACAAAACACCCACACCGATGGAAGTATGTCACAGGCACAGGAGCTAACTAAAGGGGTTCCCAATGGCCAAATCTGAAACAATGTGTGTAGCAAAATTAAGTATTAATAGTATTGGACTATAACCCAAAGTATAAAATAAGCAACCATGAGTCCATACTGATATAAATGACTGAACAAATTACTAAATGGGAGAAAATAAAAATCTCCTGCACAGAAGGATTCCAAATATTAATAATTTATGTAGATACTCTGCCATCAAGAAGCAGGACATAACTCCCTAAAGTGTGGGCTGTGCATGGTCACCTTTCCCCAGTATTACAGTATGAAAAGGAGGAAAAAAGAGTAACTTTACAATGGAAAAATCAGACAAACATTACCTCAGCCAGGTGATCAAAGTCAAAATCAAGTCATAAATTATGTTAACAGTACATACCCTTGACAGGATGTGATGAAATGATGCTTTACCTCTGTGATTTTCCTTCTAGAAACCCATAAGGCCAGTCTAAAAATGAGAAAAACATCAAATTCCAATAAAACGGTATCCTACAAAATATTTGAGCAGTCAAGGTAATCACAAAAAGGAATATCTGAGAAACTCACAGCTAAGAAATCCTAAGGAGATATGACAACAAAATGTAATGTGGTATTCCAGATGGGATCTTGAAAAAACAAAACAAAAACACTAGCTAAAAACTAAGAAAAGCTGAATAAGCTATGGATTTTAGTTAATAATGTACCAATACTTTTCACTAATTGTAATAAATGTGCCATGCAAACATACGATGTTAATTATAGGAGAAATTGGGTCTGGGGTATATGGAAACTGTAGTATATACTCAATTTTTCTGTAAAACTAAAACTTCTACAAATGAAGACTATTTTAAAAAGAATGACTGAAATGATCATAAAACTTCTGAAAAAAACAAAAATCCCTGTGATACAGAGAGACTGAAAGTTATGTGCCACTTTTTGAAGATGACTACTCCAAATTGGTTAAATTTTCAAAATTGGTATGTTAAAAAGAGTTGGTATATTGAAGAGAAATAAACATTTATCTCATCTTGTTAGGAAGAACTGTAGTTCAATCCCAGTTGACAAGAGGGAAAGGTCTTCTTAACAGAGGAAAGCTGGTTAATATTAATTGATCAAGAAGGATGACAGGCGGGAGGCCAAGGTGGGCAGATCACTTGAGGTCAGGAGTTCGAGACCAGCCTGGCCAATATGGTGAAACCCCATCTCTACTAAAAATATGAAAATTAGCCAGGCATGGTGGCACGTGCCTGTAGTCCCAGCTACTCGGGAGGCAGAGGTGAGAGAATCGCTTGAACCCAGGAGGTGGAGGTTGCAGTGACCAGAGATTGTGCCACTGCACTCCAGCCTGGGTGACAGAGCAAGACTCCATCTCAAAAAAAAAAGGATGATAGGGTTAGAAAAACAAAAAAACACCATTTGCAAGCCCAAATGAAATAACTGATTCAAAGCTCA